>NC_000014.9:69763228-69914743 GCF_000001405.40 Homo sapiens
TTTAAGTCCTCTCTTCTAGCTGTTCTAAAATATAAAATACATTGTTGTTTATATAGTCCCCTATTCTGCGATTGAATATTAGATCTTATTCCTTCTATCTAACTGTATGTTTGTACTTACTAATCAATCTCTCTTATCTACCCCACCCCATCAGCAAATGTTTTCTGTAAAGGACCAGACAGTAAATATTTTAGGCTTTCAGGCCATATGGCCTCTACCGTAGCTACTCAGCCCCGCCTTTGTAGCACAACAGATATAGGCAATAAGTAAATGAACAGGAGTGGCTGTGTTCCAAAAATTTATTCATTTATGGATACTGACCTTTAAATTTCATATAATTTTCATGTGCTATCAGATATTCTTCTTCTTTTGTTCCCCCACAACCACTCCACTAAAACACAAAAAATTAGCCAGGCATGGTGGCGTGTGCCTGTAGTCCCAGCTACTCGGGAGGCTGAGGCGGGAGAATTGCTTGAACCCGGGAGGCGGAGGTTGCAGTGAGCCAAGATCACACCACTGCACTCCAGCCTGGGTGACAGAGAGAGACTCCGTCTCCAAAAAAAAAAAAAAAAAGATTTGCTTCTAATTTGGATGTCTTAAGAAAAAGATGCCAAGCCATTTTGTTGAAACATTAATATAGGAATAGGACGACCTGAAAAAAATGCTCATGCAAATCCAGGTCTATAAATATTGAGTCTTTTTGGTGCTGTGCATTTCTGGAAAACATGAATAACATATATGAATCAGTGATGACTGTATAACAGAGGTATAAACAGAATATTGTAGGAACACATAGGAGGAAGAGTAATTCTGATCATGGAAGATGACTTTGTATTTATTAGAGAAATTGGTAAGAAACAGTCCAATAGTGATATGGTTTGGCTCTGTGTCCCCACCCAAATCTCATGTTGAGTTGTAATACCCAGTGTTCGGGGAGGAACCTGGTGGTAGGTGATTGGCTCATGGGGCGGATTTCCCCCATTCTGTTCTTGTGATAGTGAGTTCTCACAAGATCTGATGGTTTTTAAAAGTGTGAGGCACTCCACCCCTTGCTTTCTCTCTCTCTCCTGCCATCATGTGAAGAGAGTGCTCACTTCCCATTTGCCTTCTGCCACGACTGTAAGTTTCCTCGGGCCTCCCAGTGATGCTTCCTGTACAGCCTATGCAACTGTGAGTCAACTAAACCTCCTTTCTTCATAAATTACCCAGTTTCAGATAGTTTTTTTATAGTAGTGTGGGAACAGACTAACACAAATAGGGAGACTTGAGATTAGATGGTTGTCATGGCAAAAGCCAACACTGCAGAAGACAAGTGTTTTAAAATATTGTCTCTAGGCACTACTAAGGAAAAATTACTTTTGTGGGACTCATAACATTTTAAATAATAAATAAATCAGAGAAAAGGGTTCATTAAAAAATTGGTCCTGAAGAAAATCAACACCATGAGCTGAAGGTAGCAACTGTTTCCATGGTGTACAGCACCATCTTTTTTTTTTTTTTTTGGTGAGATGCAGTTTCGAGCCCAGGCTGGAGTGCAATGGCGTGATCTCAGCTCACCGCAACCTCCACCTCCCAGGTTCAAGCGATTCTCCTGCCTCAGCCTCCCAAGTAGCATGCCCAGCTAATTTTGCATTCACCACCATGCCCGGCTAATTTTGTATTTTTAGTAGAGACGGGCTTTCTCTATGTTGCTCAGGCTGGTCTCGAACTCCTGACCTCAGGTGATCTGCCTGCCTCGGCCTCCCAAAGTGCTGGGATTACAGGCGTGAGCCACCACGCCCAGTCAGCACCATTTTTTTTTTTCACCACCAGAAAATCTTTTCCAGATTACTTTTTCTTATTGCAGCCAAAATAAAGTGTAGTTGTTTGTTCCTTCTCCAGTCGCACTGGTTCACTTTACTAGCCTTAAAAACAAAACAAGGCCGGGCGCGGTGGCTCACGCCTGTAATCCCAGCACTTTGGGAGGCCGAGGCGGGCGGATCACGAGGTCAGGAGATCGAGACCATCCCGGCTAAAATGGTGAAACCCCGTCTCTACTAAAAATACAAAAAATTAGCCGGGCGTAGTGGCGGTCGCCTGTAGTCCCAGCTACTTGGGAGGCTGAGGCAGGAGAATGGCGTGAACCCGGGAGGCGGAGCTTGCAGTGAGCCGAGATCCCGCCACTGCACTCCAGCCTGGGCGACAGAGCGAGACTCCGTCTCAAAAAAAAAAAAAAAAAAAAAAACAAAAAAGTGGTAGTGAGTGAAATAAAAATAGTTGCTTTCACAGTAAACATAAATGTAGAAAGTAATCGGAAGACTTGTTTATTATGCAGAAACCAAACAAATGTAATTAAATACCAACTGGTTTGGGACAATTTGTGCATTATAAAATGCCAATGTTCATCAGGCCAACAACTAGGTAACATTTTTTTCTTTTCATTGAACAAATACATTAAATACATATTGTGTTATAAACCCATCCTTAACTCCCACATTATAGGTAACTAACTTCACTGAGGCTCTTTTTATTTGTACATATAACTATGAATGGACAAGCTTATCCCTTACAAACTATCCAAGTTTCAGTTCTGAGTGCCTAAAGGCCCCTGAGGTCGAGTTAAGGGTCAGTTGCTCTCCTTCCGGAACTACTTTTTCTCTGTTTAACTCTAGTTGCAAGCATGCAACTCCACATTCCAGGCACTTCTCAAAAATGGGGTGCACTGGGTTCTACATAAAAGCATTAAAGCGAAGTTAAGCAATCTCTTTATGCCTAAGTTTCTAGGTCTACCAACCTTATCGGGACAACGCGGGAGTTAATATGGAGGGCTGTGTTTTACACCCACTTTGAAAGCACGGCATTGTCTGTTTCTAAAGAATTGTAAACTTTCATGTGTTACATTACAGAAATCTGAACGGAGAGGATTAACCAAATACCATTTGGACTTAAAAGCAGCTTGAGGCCGGGCGCGGTGGCTCATGCCTGTAATCCCAGCACTTTGGGAGGCCGAGACGGGCCGATCACGAGGTCAGGAGATCGAGACCATCCCGGCTAACACGGTGAAACCCCGTCTCTACTAAAAATACAAAAAAATTAGCCGGTGTGGTGGCGGGCGCCTGTAGTCGCAGCTACTCGGGAGGCTGAGGCAGAAGAATGGCGTGAACCCGGGAGGCGGAGCCCAGATCGCGCCACTGCACTCCAGCCTGGGCGACAGAGCAAGACTGTCTCAAAAAAAACAACAAAAAACAGCTTGAAACCTCTTCCAGCCACTCTCCCAGAGTGACGGACATGCAGAAATCTGTATTCCAGCCTCAATTCAAGACAGCCTTCTAGCTGCAGTCCCATTTTCAACATTTCATCAGTGAAAATCCTTTCATTTAAAAAATACTTCAGTGCCTTAGTCTTCTCACCACAACAAAACCACACAGCTGTGGCATGGTTGAAAAAAGAACTCGAACATCTAGGAGCTCCCTGCTTTGAGGGCAAATTTAAATTGCAAGCAGCAAGAGCTAAGGAAAGGCCAGGTATTTCTGCAAAGCTAAGTTTCTCCTAATTAGTAATCTTCTGGGTGTCTAAGAAAAACTTTAGATACAAGAAGGGTTGCCACTTTTCTCAGGAGACTCTTCTGGGAGAGATGATGATGAACCGAACGCCAAGGACTTAGCAGGGGCGAACGACGTCAACAGATGTCCCTCCAGACTCCGGCACCAGCCGGCCGAGCCCAAACGAGTTCTCGCCCCCGACCCCACCCACCGCGGGAGCAGGGTTCGGTCACTCGCAGTGTCAGAGAGGCCCACATCCTCCTAAATTTCCGGCCCTCCCAAAACTTCCGTCTTCCCTAGGTCCAACGGGGTGGACCCAAGGCCCAGGGGCGTCCCCGGAAGTGACGTAGGACGCGCCCTCCATTTTGTGGAGCGCCAGAGCTGCTAAGTGCGTCAGTTGTGGAGTGGCGTAGACGAGTTAAGTCCTGGTCTGCGTGGAGGTCGACGACTCCGTCGCAGACTACGGACCTGTCTGGGTCTCAGCCGCCAAAGACCCCGTCCGGTAGGTGAGTGGCTCACTTTGAGGGCAAGCCTTCTCGGATCGAGGCTTCTTCATGGCCGCTCAGATCGTGAGCGGCCGGGGCTGCTCTCTTTGCGGAGGATGGCGTCTAATGAGCGCAGTTGATTCGAGGTGGGCGCTGGGGCACGTCTCCCTTTTGGCATACTGTTTGAGGGGTACTGAGGTGAAAGGGCGGTCACTGTTCGGGTCGTTTTTACACAGCGGTTGTGCGCCCGTCCCTGCCAGTCTTAATGTCTTCATCTCCTGGACACGTAGAATAGTGGGCCGGGATCTCCCTGACTTTGCTGGCGATGCGGCTGGGCCTTTTGTAGGGCGGCCGCAGTGACCCCCGAGAAGGGGGTTGCTGGGAGGAGAAGGGAAGAGGGAATTTGGCACGCGCAGCTCTGCTGCCTTTGATTCCACCGCCGCCATTTTGTGGCCGCAGAGCGCCCGCCCGCTGCTGTTGGCGCAGGCGCGGTCGAGGCGTCGCGAGATTCTGGCTTCCACCCGCTGTGACGCGCCCGCGAGGCCGCCATTGGGCTGGCTTTGCGGAGGGCGCGGGCGGCTCCGCCCGCACTTCTCGGCCTTTCCTAACTGCGGCAGATGGGAGGGGGCCGGAGAGCCCGGAGAGTGTGCGGCTGCGCAGTTGGAAAGGTGGCAGTGGGCGTTGCGGTTGCTGCGGTCTGGGCCCAGTAGCGGACCGTGTTGGGAGGGAGCTGGGTTTTCATTTTGTCTGCAGGTAACCTGGCCTCATTAGAGGCTCTGTTGGCAATCTCGTTCATAACATCACTGTGTAAACATTTTATGCCGTTGATGTTTTTGATTGTTTAATCAGGCGTTTCTCTGTGACAGTCATTGCTATTATCTCGATTGAATTACTTTCTAATAGGAAGTACTAGCCGGACATCATGAGTGGCTGTCGGGTATTCATCGGGAGACTAAATCCAGCGGCCAGGGAGAAGGACGTGGAAAGATTCTTCAAGGGATATGGACGGATAAGAGATATTGATCTGAAAAGAGGCTTTGGTTTTGTGGTAAGTATTTAGAACTGGGTGAATTATCTGCTAAGTAGGTAGAGTTTTGATAAGCAGTTGTTTTCGATCTTGAGTCCGGGTGGAATATTTGCCTTCAGAAAATGTTACCCAGCCTTATGTCTGAATTTTATTGAGGCTGAAAACAACTTTAACTTGCCGGCTCACTGGAACCCCACTCCCAGTGGCTCCTTGATTAGGTTTGACTGTATGGCAGTGTCGTTAAGATACTCTTCCCATTCTGTCTCCTGATTTCAGTGCTCTTAATGTGTTGTAGAATACTCTTCTAAAGCCAATGTTAAGAGTCTTATGCTTACATTTTAGGAATTTGAGGATCCAAGGGATGCAGATGATGCTGTGTATGAGCTTGATGGAAAAGAACTCTGTAGTGAAAGGTGAGATTCCTGTGTAACTAGATAACCCTGGGACATAGAGCAGACTGGGTCTGCTGGCATATTTTTCTAAGTAGATTTATGTAGCTTAAGTGTGTAACGGAGATTTTTCTTCCCTTTTTGTAGGGTTACTATTGAACATGCTAGGGCTCGGTCACGAGGTGGAAGAGGTAGAGGACGATACTCTGACCGTTTTAGTAGTCGCAGACCTCGAAATGATAGACGGTATGTGAAGGGTGGATGGCTGCATTGAACAATTATTGTAGGGGTAGCATTTAAGATTCAGGAGTCATTAGCAGTGATGATTTTGGGTCCTGCCGTATAATCTGTTCTTCTATTCCCACGTTAGCCAGTTGTTCTTGATGAATCTATATGAGTCATAGAACACAAATCTATTGACGGAAGTCATTAGAATGGCTTGTGATATCTGATGGCTTGAACTTGCCCACAGTTGAACACAAGTGCTGTCATTGCATTTCTTCCATTGTGAATACGAATTTTCTTCCTCAGAAATGCTCCACCTGTAAGAACAGAAAATCGTCTTATAGTTGAGAATTTATCCTCAAGAGTCAGCTGGCAGGTTTGTTGAAATACAGTTTTGAGTTATTTTGATGTGGCTTTTTAAAAAAGTTAATGGGTAGCTAATGTTGTATTGTTTTATTAAAAGTAGTTTTAAATTAATGGATTTAATGGAATTGTAATTTTAAACATTTAATTAAATGTAATTTGGGGGATATTTTGAACTTTAATATTAGTGATCAAATGTAAATGTTTTGAGGATATTTTTCTTGTTTTTTAAAATCAATTTTTAACCAAATATTAAACCCTTTATTTGCCAGCCTGTCTGTGTCGTTGGCCTTATGACGAGGAGTGCCTGTGGGTTATCCTAATCGTTGTCTTGGTCACTCTTGGTTGGGCCTGGTTGACTTTGCCAGTCAGCTCCTACAGTGATCAGTTGGCCACCTCTAGATCTGTGTTTGCCGGTCTAGACGTTATCGGTGCACTTCCTTGAAGTGCCAGGTTGCAGCGATCCCAGAGCGTTGATAACGTGATCTGATCCCTAAGTTGAGACCTGTCTTCCTGTAACGCTTCCGAATAAGAGGTCCGGTCGAAAAGAGTTGAAAGATACGAAATTAGGTGGTCGTTGGAATCCTGATCGCAGTAAAGTGGTCCTTGGTAACTGCTCGAGTAGAACATGTCTGCATCCGCCAATAGTCCGCTAATAGGGAGGGCTGTGCGATTAAAGGCTTCCATCGATTGGGTAGTGTCCTTCAAGTGGGTGGCGAAGAGCCAGTCGGGCATATGTCATGAAGGTTTCTCCGACCGATTAATGGTTTGCTGCTTGACTAGCCTAGGGAAATAATAATAAAGGTAAAGTAAACTTTTTTAATGACATATGGGGCACAAAATAACTGGTGTCTTGTAAATGTTCTGTTTTTTTAAATAAAACTTCTCTACTTTAGTCTTTACTTTAAAAATATGTACTGTTTCCTTTTTTGTTGTTTTTTTGTTTGTTTTTTTTTCTTTTGTACTGAGCTCAGCATAGACTAATACTACCTTAATGTTAAAATCTGAATTTCTTTTAGCATTTTGCTTAAAAGCAATATGCTATTTGCTTATTCCGTGCCCTGACATAGATAATTTTTGAATTCTGATAGAATACAAGTGTGGTAAATGCCATGTTTGTACTTTATCTAACATCTTCTCTTTCAGTAGTCTTGTTTTTTTTATATCATGTGATTGTTTGTGTGTCCCCTTTCCTCTTCTTTGCTTAACACAATTATCTTGTGTTAAGGATCTCAAAGATTTCATGAGACAAGCTGGGGAAGTAACGTTTGCGGATGCACACCGACCTAAATTAAATGAAGGGTATGTACTGGAAACTGTGAAAGTCTTTAAAAATATCCGGAAAATTTTACTGTGAACTTAGTTTTGAGGACTTAAAATTTGAATATGTTAGAATGCAGAGATTCTCCAGAGACAATTTTGCTGCTTCCCTCCTCCCCCCCACACCTTTGGCAGTGTCTGGAGACAAGTTTGGTTGTCACAACTGGTTGAGAGAGGATGCTGTTGGCATGTAGTCAGTAGGGGCTAGGCATCCTGCTAAGCATCCCACGGTGCATAGGGAACCCCCTCAACAATGAATTGGCTCAAAGTATAACAGTGCCAAAACTTTGCTCTTTTAATGCTGTGTTATCCAGAAATAAGACTCAATAGTAGCAATAGCAAAAGTGAACATAGAAACGACTTACCTAGACTGCTGTGTGCAATGTGTGAGACTACAGGATGTATATACTTTAAAAGTGGCTGTTTTCCATTTTAGGGTGGTTGAGTTTGCCTCTTATGGTGACTTAAAGAATGCTATTGAAAAACTTTCTGGAAAGGAAATAAATGGGAGAAAAATAAAATTAATTGAAGGCAGCAAAAGGCACAGGTATCTCTAATTTTTTAAAGTCAAAAGTTGTATTTAATGGGTTTGTTGTAGAGTCTTATCTAGGCTGATTTCTTTTCATTTTTCATAGTAGGTCAAGAAGCAGGTCTCGATCCCGGACCAGAAGTTCCTCTAGGTCTCGTAGCCGATCCCGTTCCCGTAGTCGCAAATCTTACAGCCGGTCAAGAAGCAGGAGCAGGAGCCGGAGCCGGAGCAAGTCCCGTTCTGTTAGTAGGTCTCCCGTGCCTGAGAAGAGCCAGAAACGTGGTTCTTCAAGTAGATCTAAGTCTCCAGCATCTGTGGATCGCCAGAGGTCCCGGTCCCGATCAAGGTCCAGATCAGTTGACAGTGGCAATTAAACTGTAAATAACTTGCCCTGGGGGCCTTTTTTTAAAAAACAAAAACCACAAAAATTCCCAAACCATACTTGCTAAAAATTCTGGTAAGTATGTGCTTTTCTGTGGGGGTGGGATTTGGAAGGGGGGTTGGGTTGGGCTGGATATCTTTGTAGATGTGGACCACCAAGGGGTTGTTGAAAACTAATTGTATTAAATGTCTTTTGATAAGCCTTCTGCTCACATTTTTGTGAATGTCTGAAGTATATAGTTTGTGTATATTGACAGAGCTCTTTTATAACTAAAGCAAATTTAATTTTTTTGTACTAGAAAAAAATTTGAACATTTTAGTTCTTGGTTATAAAAATGTTAATTCAGAATTAGTTTAATGCCTTAATTAAACTAATTAATAGCTTTGGACACTTAAAAGAGCTCTAAATTTGCTTGTACATAAAGGCTTAATTTGTTTTCCTTGTTAGGGTCAAGGGTGTCCTCCACTCTTTAACAGCTGCTGGACAGACACATTAGAGCAGCTGTTTGTTATTGATAATAAAATATTATAAAACTACTTTTTGTCTGTTTGTCTGAAGAAGTCCTATGCTGATTATTTCTCATCCTTATACAGTAGATTTAAAACACAGAACACATCCAGAATCCTGGAGTTGGTTACGGTCTCTCTTTAAAAATAATGTTTTTGACGTCTCCAGGCTAGTGAAAAGATACAGAAGTAAGTGAATGCCAAAATCACAATTGTTGAGTTTTGTGTCCGTGGCCCCCCTGTCCCCCAAAGTTCTTTCTCTATCTCCTGAATTTATTGGCATCAGGTTACTTAAGCTTCCAGAGCCAAGAGGAGGATAGTGTGGGAAGCAGTGTTTCTTGCCTACCTTAAAGATTAGGACAGGTTTTTTTGTTTTGTTTTTGAGATGGAGTTTTGCTCTTGTTGCCCGGGCTGGAGTGCAATGGTGCGATCTTGGCTCACTGCAACCTCTGCCTCCCAAGTTCAAGCGATTCTCCTGCCTCAGCCTCCCAGGTAGCAGAGATAACAGGCATGTGCCACCATGCCCAGCTAATTTTTATTTTTAGTAGAGACGGGTTTCACCGTGTTGGCCAGGCTGGTTTTGAACTCCTAACCTCAGGTGATCCATCTGCCTGGCCTCCCAAAGTACTGGAATTACAGGCATGACCCACTGTGCCCGGCCTTGTTTTTGTTTTTTTTTGAGGCAGGATCTTGTTCTGTTTGTCTAGGCTGGAATGTGGTGGTGTGATCACTGCTCACTGCAGCCTTAACCTCCTGGGCTCAAACAATTGTCCCGCCTCTGCCTCCTGAGTAGTTAAGACTATAGGTGTGCACCACTGTGTGTGGCTAATTTTTTATTTTTCTAGAGACAGGGTCTTGCTATGTTGCCCATACTGGTCTTGAACTGGCCTCAAGTGATTCTCCTAACTTGGCCTCCCAAAGTGCTGGGATTATAGGTGTGAACCACTTTATCCAGTTGTGATGCAGTTTTGGTGGTCAGATAACGTGAATGCTTAAGGGGCTTTGACATGCTACTTTTTGTCTTGAGATATGTATGGGATAGTACATGTTTAAGGGAAAACAATAGTGCAAAATGCCTAAGGTCCTATATCCACATTAACCTTAGACTTCTATATGTGATCTTTCAAGCCCTGTCTTAGATGTGTAGAAAATGAGCTTTGTTAATACAGGAGTCTCAAGACACTTAGATATATTCTTAGTTCTGTGGGGGCTAGACTACATAAATACTGGGAACCAGTGAATAACATCTATATAGCATCTGATAGTAATAGCCAGGCACTGTTTTAAGTGCCATTACCTCTGTGTTGACTGAATCTAATACCATCATTTTACTGGTGGGAATTCAGGAATTTTTCAAAGAACAGGGATGGATTGGTGTTAAAATCTAGGAAGTCTGATTCCTAAGACCCCCACACCACACTGTCACTGTTCACGTAAAGATTTTTGCCCCTAGCTTTTCAGGGATTTGGAAGAAGGCAGAATTAGAAGCACTAGAAAAATGTAGCTTTTAGCTTCCCGAAAGCATGCGGATTGGGAAGTGGGAATCTCCATTTGGGAGAATTGAAAGGTTTTTGGTATCCTTAATTTTTAAAAGGCCACTCCCCAGCTGTTTCTAAGACTAGAACAGGCCACGGAAGCTTAAAACTGCTAATTGCAGTAAGAGGCTGAGTTTAGGAGTTGGTATACCTGTTGAATTAGTTGAGAGAACTAGGTTTATTTTAATAAATGGTTAAATCTAGATTTTCTTAGCGTCTCTGAAGGCAGTACTTAGCCTGAAGTTGCTATCAAAAGCAGCTTCTCACCCTTGGGCTTTTAAAACATGCTCCTCAGTGCAGTATGGTAGTATGTTGATGTTCTTCCCCTCTACCCCTAGACAATCAGACAAACTTTTTTTTTTTTTTGAGATGGAGTCTTGCTGTTGCCCAGTTTGGGCGATCTTGGCTCACTGCAGCCTCTGCCTCCTGGGTTCAAGCGATTCTCTTGCCTCAGCCTCCCAGGTAGCTGGGATTACAGGTGCCCATCCCCATGCCCAGCTATTTTTTTTTTTTTTTTGTATTTTTAGTACAGACGGGGTTTTAACCTGTTAGCCAGTCTGGTCTCGAACTCCTGACCTCAAGTGATACACCCACCTCAACCTCTCAAAGTGCTTGGTTTACAGGCGTGAGCCACTCTGCCAGTCTTCTTTTTTTTTCTTGGGATAGAGTCTTGCTTGGTCACCCAGGCTGGAGTGCAGTGGTGGTGTCTTGACTCACTGGAACCTCCACTTCCCAGGCTCAAGTGATCCTAATGTCTTAGCCTCCCAGGAGCTGGAATATCCCACCACCATGTCTGGCTGATTTTTGTATTTTTATTAGAGATGAGGTTTGACCATGTTGGCCAAGCTGGTCTTGAACTCCTGACTCCAAATAATCTATCTGCCTGCCTTGGCCTCCCAAAGTGTTGGGATTACAGGTGTGAGCCACTGTGCCCAGCCAAGAATTAAGCTACTTTTAATCTTAGAGGTGTTAGGGAGTACGATAAATTCCTTCTTTTGAAAAAAATGGCAGGGAGATAACAATTATGTCTCAAAAAGGGACTCTCAAAACCAGGCTTCAGATACCATGAGGAGTGTGGATGTAATCCTAAGGAAAGGTTTAGGACCTGCCTTTGTAGGGCATGGTTTAACCTTTGTTTTCTATGTTTATATTAGTTTCATCTTTATTCCTTGCTTTTTTTTTTTTTTTTTAGACAGGGTCTTGCTCTGTTGCTAGGTTGGATGGAGCGCGGTGGTGCTATCTCGGCTCACTGCAACCTCTGCTTCTGGGGTTCAAGTGATTCTCCTGCCTCAGCCTCCCGAGTAGCTGGGACTACAGGTGTGTGCCACCATGCCTGGCTAATTTTTGTATTTTTAGTAGAGATGGGGTTTCACCATTTTGGCCAGGATGGTCTCAATCACTTGACCTCATGATCTGCCCGACTCGGCCTCCCAAAGTGCTGGGATTACAGGTGTGAACTACTGCATCCGGCCATCTTTATTCCTTTCTAAGAATGGTTTGAGGCCAACCCTGTCTTCCTCAAAAGCTAAACAAATGTGTTCTTACATAACTTGTATGTAACCAAGTCTCCTAGCAGATGATGTTGGTTAGATAATAGAGAAAACAATTTGAACAGGTAGGTATATATGGATATAATAAGTAAAAATGATAGGTGGTAGCCTTGTCAAAAATCTGCGTTTTTAAGAGGATGTTAGTAACCCAAATCTGTGTTTCTCGTTTTGGTGTTGGGAGTACTTGTTAGTCCTGCACATTTGCCAAACTGATACCCGAAAACTATATTGTCTTGGTTTCATTTGTACCTGACCATACAAAATGATAAAAATCCCAAGTAACTAATAAGCATGATTGACTTTTTGTAATTGTTAATATTAGTTGTTAATCATTTACTTGATCCTTATTTACATATGATATGCAAAATGTTTAAATTTTATTAGAGACAATTTGAAATTTGTGAATTCTAGGTATTTGAACATTTTTCTTTGAATTGGGAAACGACTCATTTTGGCAGTAGTTTGCTGTACCCAGTTTTGGGGGCGCCTTGTGTTAAAACCAAATACCTACTGAACTTAAAAAAGAGATTATTAGTGAGGTAACATTGTGTTAATGTATGTGTTTGTTTCCTGGTTTTTCCTTGTCAAAAGTTTTCCTCCTCTACTAACATGATGCATTCGCCCAGTTTTTTCATTTCATTAGCTATTTTTTGAGTTTGTTTTGCCTGATTGCATCTTACTGTGTTCACTTTTGCATACTTGATGTCAAATTTGACTTTTCGGGAGCATCATCCCAATAATGTCAAAAGGGAAGGAATAGGATCTGAACTTTTTAGGTTAGAACTTCTGAAGTTTAATTCTACAGCACTTGTGAGCATTTATTTCTCTTTTGGGTCACAAAACTTGGAATGGGATTTGGGTATTTGAGTAATGGGTTAAACATATATATTGATTAGTTCAGGAATTGAGTGACTTTAAGATGCTTATCAGACACTTTTAGAGATCCCAGCAAGAGGCAGATTCGGTTTCTGGTTTCATAGAGTTTACAGTCACTGAACAAGTCTTTAAAATAAGTAGCAAATTCTAAGTTGGGGATAGGTGAGGCTTCTTGGGTAGACACCCTGTCTGTGTTCCCGGCCAAGACTTGATGATTCTGATAGATGTACTGGAAATGCTGGAGAAAGACTCAGGCAAGACTGGTGTTTTTGCTGCTCTCTCTAGTTTACCACACTGGCTTTCAGAATTGCTTTGGGACCAGAATCCAGGCCACCAGGGGAAGGGCTAGGCTGTGCAAGGGGAGCAGTCCTCCCCTTTGTAGGTGCCATTTCCCAGAGCTCCTGGAATTGTTTCTTCAGTTGTGGCAGCTGTGTAGATCATTTTTGTTTTATCTGTAAAGTTAAAAAGGGTTACAGGTGTAGAGAGAGAACAAGAGGAGTGAACAATGAAGCTTGTTTAATCTGGAAAGTACAAAAATACCAACTCAGCCCTAGAGTGTGCTAAGTATATATTTTCCATCTCTGTCGTCTCTCCCATGGTTTACTCTTTAAACTCACTTTCCCCTCAGTCTCCCTAATGGTAGTACTAGTAGTAAAAGTCCTAATGAATTAGACTATTGTGTCTTCATCATCACTTCACTTCTAACTTCGTTATACAGTAAAACAACAGGAGATGAGTTTATGTATGCAAGGTCTGTGTTGCATTCAGGGAATGAGGAGGCAGGCAGGAAAGATCTTCGAGAAAGTCTAACCAAGAGAGTTTCCAGTTCTTCCCTCCAACCCCCAATTGATCTACCTCTTCTTGTCCGTGGTGTAGGCGGTGATGCAAATTTGAAGATAGCTTTGATTCCTGCACCTTTCTATACAGATGGGAGAGTTCTCTATACAGAGTTGTTCTCCCATCAGGTGCAGGAATGAAAAGTATAAAAACTTGACAGATTCCTCCCCCCTGAGAATAGCTTCTTGGGGCCATTAGGTCCAAAGAAATACGTTGCTTTGATTTAGTGTTTCCACTGGGGTCTTCTGAGATACACTGTGAGGAAAGTTCTTTTCAAGTCTTGAGAGCTAAAGATCCATAGAGTATTGTCCTTTGAGGTCACTTCAGGTCTTTCTGGTACTAAAACCTCAAATCTGGGAATTTGGTTGGTCTAGAAACTTCTGTGCACTTTTTGTAAGAGGGCAGCAAATCTCTTGCGTTCCTCTCAGATAAGCATCAGAGTAGATTCTTTCTCACAACTCTACTGTAGCTTTGAACCAAAGCTTCTAAAATGGTTCTAGTGTATGGTCAGCCTGTACTTGTTTCGTGTTGGCTGCTTGGCAACCTAATTACATCTTAGCTAATTGCAAAGGGAGAGAGAATCGGCATTTGCTTGCTAGTATAATGTAACAAATTCCAATAGGGAAAGTTGTGTATTTCTCCTAGGGTGTAAATCACAGTCCCTAGGGTCTAGAAAGGTTTTGAAGGGGACTTCAATTCATGGACATGAAGGGACAGTTGAAGGATTTGGGTAGGTACTTAGGAAGAATATACTAATGTTGAGAGTTATAATGAAATGTGTTATAAAGTGGGTTTGAATGTCCTGTTTTTTTTTTTTTTTTTTTTTTTTTTTAAAATTGGTGTTAAAGTGCACTTTGAGGAAGGCACTCTGTTCTCTGGTCTGTCTTGAGGTTCAATTTTATTTTGAAAGGTAATACTCTGAGCATTTTAGAGAAGAGATGCTATGTTAACCCCATAGTGATCAGAGTAAAGTATAAATCATATTAAGTTTATTGTGGAGGTAGTTACTGTTTAACAACCGTATGCTTAAGTTTCCTTTACTGCGTAACTAGAGTTGAGGAATCTTTTTTTTTTTTCTTTATTCTGGGTTATATTAGGGTGCATTGCTTTCATATGTTTTTCCTCATACGGAGGTGCCAGTGGTGCTGTGGCTCTGATCTGGTTCCAGGAAATGAGAACCTAGTCCTGAGAAATGGAAACTTCCCCAACTCTTGCGAATAGAGGCCTTTCACACAACTAATAACCTCAGTTGTCCAAGGCAGTTTTGTCCTATGATGTCTCCCCACTGAGACAAAGCAGCCCAAATTGCTTCAGTTTTATGAGGTAAACTGCATCTGCAATTTCATTCTCCCAGCTAGAAGGAAGAAATGGAGTGCAGTTGATGGAAGTAGTCTTGGATCTTTAATGCTTCTTGGGTGCTTCTTGGGGCTACCTGGTTCTTAGTGACTTGATAAGAGTTAAAGCCCTATCCAAAAAGTCCCTGCTAGAAACTTGCTTGTTGGCAGGCTCAGGTCTAATATTGGAGCAGAACTTGAAGTGGGGATAATTTCAGTACTCACCCTTGGGAGTCTTGAATTTCTCATAGCACCAAAATATGGCAATGAGGAGAAGCCCTTCTCCAAGCTGGAAAATCATGTAGAGGAGGGGAAAGAAGAAAAGTGGTCCAATGACTTCAGGTGGAAAGGCCACATTGAGGATGGTGGAACAGAGTTGGACATTTTGGCATCCAGTCTCCATGCTGACAGTGCGTCTGCACCTGTGCCGGTGAAGAAAACCCCACATACACTCAGAGGGAACTGGAGGGAGCAACTTTGTCCCAGTGCTGCTACCAAAGAGTTTCGCAGCAGATGGAATCTAGACCCTGGACAGGGGTACTTTGCTATTGCTGCTGGTGTTTGGATACCTTTGGTGTCTGGATTTTTAACCCGTTCAATACCTTCATTCAATTTTTTTCAAGTCTAAAGTCTCTTGTCCAGTTAGTGCATCTGAACATATTGCCAGGAAAGTGTCTTGCCCAGATTTCAGGTTCCTAGCTTCTTATTCGTTTCCTGAAAGACTAGGACAAGAATGAAGCCCATGGGACAGTGGGACCTAAAATAATACCTATCTCCAGGCATGCAGTGGCTCACACCTGTAATCCTAGCACTTTGGAAGGCTGAGGCAGGTGGATCACTTGAGCTCATTAGTTCAAAACTAGCCTGGGCAACATGGTAAAACCCTGTCTCCAGAAAAGTTAAATCAGCTGGTCATGGTGGCTTGTGCCTATAGTCCCAGTTACTTGGGGGGCTGAGGCAGGAGGATCAGTTAAACCCTGGAGGTTGAGGCTGCAGTGAGCTGAGAATGTGCTACTCCCCTCCAGCCTGGGCAACAGAGTGAGACCCTTTCTTAAAAAAAAAAAAAATACCTACCGTCCATTGAGGCAGAAGAGAGCAGAGAGAACATAACCCAGCAGAAAGCCAATAAAAGGCATCAGGGAGGAGGTGGCAATCAAGAGTGGTGTCATGGCAAACATGATGCTCTTCCCCACATTGATGGCAGAGAGAACTGTGACGGCCACACTGCACAAGAGAATGATGATCATCCCTCCCTGGGAATGAAGACAAGAAAAGGCAATTAGAAGAGTTGGGGATAGAGAGGAACAGAGGTGGGGAAGCACAGGTAGAAATTGGAGGTGGGAAACATTGCAATAAAACACTGGAAGTGGAAAGGAATATGAAAGACCTTTATCTTCTTTTTGGATTCCTTTCTTTAAATTTTTTTAAAATTATTAACATTAGAGACAGGGTCTTACTATGTTGCCCAGGCTGGTCTTACTCCTGGACTCTTAGCGGTCCTCCTGCCTTGGCCTTCCAAAGTGCTGGGATTACAGGTGTGAGCCACTGCACCCAGCCCATCTTTTTAGATTTCGTATCAGTAGCTAGGAAGCTTGGGGACAGCTGATTAACACTTTGATTATTACAAACTCAGCCAAGCACAGTTACTGCTTTTGACACATCTCTGGATAGCAGACTTTCAGTGAAGTGTTACGTGAGGCTATTCAGGACTCCTGCAAAATGGATATTATTTAAAAGTCAAGTATTTTTGGAACTTATATACACATTCCTACAATACTGTCATTGTTCCACATACTTTGAAACTCATGAGAACTTGTCATACATATTTGTCTCAAATACCTTGATTACAGATAGGGATTTTATCCATTTTAGGATCAATTCTGGAAATTGCCAAGAGTCATTTGAAACAAAGCTGGTAAACAAGGTGGATGATCAAGCCCGGAAATACGGTTTTAAACCCAAAATGATGTCTAATAATAAGGGGACAAACCTACTTTCTTGAGTGACCTGCAAATTGAATATGAAGGAAGTTCCCAAAAGAACTTTCAGAAATATCTTGGGTGATAACAACATCATTGGAAACTATGCAGGTCTACTCTGAATGAAATTATAGGGTTTTTCATTGTGCAACATAGGATGCAACCTTTCAAAGTGCATGTGCACTCCATGCACTTTGTACTTTCCAGTGTGCATTTTAGAGAATTGCGTCCTCCAAAATGATAAACAGGTATGTGTAAATTTAAGACTGTCCCTTTTATCTCCTGAGTAAAGAAATACTTAACTTTTCTCAAACTTACCATGTTATTTTGTAATAGTTACATGTGTTGGTTCATTTTTTGGTTCATTCACATGTGTTGCATTTTATATTTCCTAGTAACATTTTAAAAAAGTAAAATATGTATAGCAAAGTTTGCCATTTTAATCACTTTTGAGTGTACAGTTCAGTGGCATTAAGTACATTCATAATGTCCTAACGACATTTTAACATTTATATTGCTCAAATTTCAGCTGCACAGCTTTGTGTTTCTGTTTTTAATACTTGTTGCAACTGATATGATCATATAAAACATCACCTATACCAATTAGTGGTCCTATCCCAGCATAGGAAGGACTTTCACACATCTCTTGAATAACCATGTGCTTCAAGTTTTATTAAAAGACTTATTAGCTAATGAACTTCTCAGTTTACCTTTGCATTTTTAGTTGATTTCCCCTTTTAGATTTCTGTCTTTCGAATTTGTCCTTTACCCAACAGTCAAATAATTTTTAATCTCTATCAAGAGTGGAGTGGATAATGTAGGAGACATTGAGTTACAGGAATTGTCCACGAATCCAGAAGCCCTCTTCTTCTGTATAGGCATTCACTCTTATTCTCTCACTCATGTTCTCTGACTCTTGGGGACTGCACAGTTGTGGTTATGAGCACATAATTTGATATGATCCTGGTGGGAAAGCTGCCTCTGCTAGTCTCCAGGTGTGTAAGCTCTGGGGAGTCACTCAACCTGAGTGAGGTTGACGGCATAGGACCTGGCATATAAGAACCGCTCACTAAACTGTAACTCCTGTTATTACTCAAAGGGGAGGAATTAACATTCTAGAGGTTCCTGTCACTCTCACTGCTGCCATCTCTGGAAATTTATCCTGTCTACAACCCCTGTCTCCTGCTGAGACAAGTGGCCCCGGGTAGTTGCTTCTCCATAGGCTACCACATTTTGTACCACCTGACTTCATTGCCCTGCTCACAACTGGGATGAGTGCTCATTCATGGGCAGCCAATCCATTGGCTTACACATGAGATGACATGTCCACAGTCTACCCACAAAGGTGGCCCGCACAGGCTGGTGAGTGGTAGAAATAATCAGATTCTCTCATTTAGGAAGTTTGC
This sequence comes from Homo sapiens, assembly GCF_000001405.40. Lineage (NCBI taxonomy): Eukaryota > Metazoa > Chordata > Mammalia > Primates > Hominidae > Homo > Homo sapiens. Next base: position 69,781,493 of record NC_000014.9, read on the forward strand.
AGGATTACAGAGAGGGAAGCAATAGCAGGGACAAGTGTCAGAACAGAGGTCTGGGAGCAATAGCCACAAGTTGGCAGAAGTTGTAAGACAAAGGAGAGTTAGGGGTCAGTTCAGCAGTAGCAGCAGGTGTGGGAAATGCATGAGTAGAGTGTTGAGTCAATGAAATGGTGGGATCCTTATTAAAGAGTGGTGGATGGCTTATGGTGAAAGTGGCTCCTGGACCATGTCATTCTCAGATTCATCACCCTTTTAGCCACATAGCCTTTGGATAAACCCTTGCATGGGTAAGTTAAAAATTACTTGAATTGCCTTTTAAAATGAGCATGCCTGAAATTGTATCTTGGTATATCTAAATGTGACCTTCCACCAGCGAATGCAACTGGTTGAACCCGGTGTGAGCAGATACCTGCTGCCAGAGCTAGTTATTGAAAGTTGGGTTATTTTGATTTGCAAGGTCCAAGGAGGGTTATGTGTGCGTAAGAGGCTAGGACAATCATTTGTTCGTTTTCCAGTTTGGCACTCACTATATTATTTATGGGACAGGGTGACGAAGGATGAGCATAGTCCTCGAAGAGCCATAGAAGCAAGGAAACCTTAGCTTTTGCAGCTTGACCCACATGTTAGTCTCTGCATCCTCACAGGAGTGATTCCAGTTTTGGAATATAGGAAGATCAGTGTAGCTGTTGACTTTGTGGTGGTTTAACCCTGGAGGTTTAGCCAGGGGCAAAATGGGTCCAGGGCATGCCTGGGTTTTTTAGATTACCTTTTATGTAGTCCCTTATTACTAGTCTCTGTTTTTCCAGCCAAGGTATTTCTTAGCCCTTTTAATGTTCTCTGGCTTCATTTTGACTTCATTTCGTCTGTGGCATTGAGTAGTGAATGTGCAACACAACAGGAACAGACTGGTTGAAATAATCCTGGCTCTGCCAAGTAACTTTTCCGGGCCTCGGTTACTCTATCTGCAAATTGGGAATAAGGCAGGAGACTGAACTTCATCTTAAAGGCTTCTCCAGCTTTAAGATCTGAGATTCTCGGCAAGGTGTGGTGGCTCACGCCTGTAATCCCAGCACTTCGGGAGGCCAAGGCGGGGAGATCACAAGGTCGGGAGATCGGGACCATCCTGGCTAACACGGTGAAACCCCGTCTTTACTAAAAAATACAAAAAATTATCCGGGTATGGTGGCGGGCGCCTGTAGTCCCAGCTACTCAGGAGGCTGAGGCAGGAGAATGGTGTGAACTCGGGAGGTGGAGCTTGCAGTGAGCCGAGCTCGCGCCACTGCACTCCAACCTGGGCGACAGAGTGAGACTCCGTCTCGAAAAAAAAAAAAAAAAAGGGTCTGAGATTCTGCTTTTTGCAACCTCAGAGAAACACTTTTAAAGCTACTCTGAGGTAGAAAAGAGACATGTTCTCACATCAGTTGTCATTAGCACTATGACTTGGTATTCTGTTTCCCAGTTTTCCCACCTATAAAATGGAGGAGGGCAGAGTAGCATTAAATGATAGCAGTGGTCACTTCACATTTTAATATTCTTTATATTTTATATGCATTTCTTTAAGATCGTTTATGGGTGTATAGGATTTTTTAAAAAAGCAATCTTATGCACCCCACAAACTATCTTAAAAAAATGAAATGATGCACACAAACATGTTTCTCTGTGTATGTTGTTTTTCTGCTGGTGTGTGGAAGAGCAGCAGACAGGACTTGCCCTTCATTCCTTTATTTATTCTCAGGCATTAGCTATGGGGGCACTGTGATAGGTGCTGTGGATTCAGTGTTAATTAAGACAGCCTTATGGTCTTGCTTCTTGATAAATGAGTGGGGAATAAAAATGAACAGATGTTCTTAATGCAGTGTAATAATTGCTACAGGGGTTAGCTGGAGTGTTGGGTGTTATGGGAGTGAATAGGACAAGCATCTTACTCAGGCTTAGGAGGTTAAGGAAGGCTTCCTGGGGGAGGCGCTATTTGTGTTGAGACTTAAAGGATGAGTGGGAGTGATCCAGTGAAAGATGGTGAGTGGGGTGAGAATTGGGAAGAAGAGTGTTCCAGGTGAAGAGAAGGGCACGTGCAAAGAGAAAAGAGCTGAGACTGGTGAGGTCAGTTGAAACCAAATCAAGAAGTGCCACATTAAGGAGTTTAAACTATCCTAGGGGGAAGGAGTCAATGAGAGGCTTTAAGCAGTGGAGTGACATGATAGAGTTTGTACTTCACATCTTCACCCTCAGGTTAGAACTGGGTGAGGAGGTTGGATGAGAAGGCCATTTGAGTTGTCTAGTGAGAGGTAAGGATAGAGAGGAATGAATGGATTCCAGCAACAGAAGGTGGAATCGACAGTCATTGATTAGATGGGTGTGAGTGGTGAGGGAGAAGGGAACATTGAGAATGACTTCCAGTTTCTGGTTGGGGCAACTGGGCACACACACAGTGCCACCGACTGAGATAACCACATGGGGAGGAGATGACTTTAACATATATTGAGTTTTAAATGTCTGAGGTATATTCAGATAGAAAGACCTGGTAGATAATAAATGGATTCTGGAGTGAGGATAGAGTTGACATCTGATGATGCTGTTCTGGAAGTCTCGGTTTGCAGATGGTAATTGCAGACCTGAGAGGGACCAGATCCTGTGCTGGGAGAGGTCTGGTGAGAAAGGCAGAAAGCTTGGTCTGAATGCAGAGAAGTGCCTTTGACCAGAGGAACTCATAAGGGAGTCTGAAGGTCATGAGAGGTAGGAGGAAAGCAGCAGAGCTTAGAGTCACTAAAGCTGACAGAGAAGGCTTTTGAGGAGGCAGTGGTCAATTATGTCCAATGCTGCTAGAAGGTCAAGGAAGGATTGAGAAATGTCCATTGGATTTGGCAAAGAAAGTGGAGCAGGTGGTCATCAAGATGCTGGGTGGATGGGAGACCAAGGAGAGAAGAGAGGGATTCAAATAATGGAAACGAATTGCTGAGGGCCTGGTCACTCATGAGAGAGCTCTGGCGGTGGCATGGGGGAAATGGAAGGTGTTTGAGAGGAAGCGATTGACAGAGAGAGAGAGGAGTGAGGGGGACTACTCCTAAAACCTGGCTAGGAAGGAGAGCAAAGGGAGATATTAGGTGGAATGGGAGGTGGATTCCACAAAAAATCCCAGTGAGAGACACTTTTTGTTTTGTTTTTTGAAGATAGAAGATATGTGAGTTCGTATCAAAGCTGATTGTGAAGAACCAATACAGAGATATTTTAGAAATGAGAGAGAGGGGAGGCTGCTGGGCCAGGGGCATAATCAATAAAAGGAGGTCTCTTGAGTACAAGGGTAGAGAGAATGATTGCAATCCAGGGCTGAGGTGGGGTGACTGGCCACAGAAAGGAGGAGGGATGATTCCTCCATGTCCTCCAGCAGGCGGGAAGGGGAGCTGTGGCCATGGCACTGGGACAGGACAAGGGCAAAAACTACTCTTGAGACAATGGTAGTGTGAAAATAAAACCCCCCTGAAAACTGGACTCTTGACTTCTTTGTTCCAGGCCCAAAGCTGCTGCCAAACTTTGGGGTTCTCAGCAGCACGCCTTGCAGACCAGGCCAGAGGCATTGATCCAGGGGCAGAGATGGTACAGGAGGTCAGGAGGTCAAGTCCTTCCTGAGGACCAGGATGACCTCCTGGCCCTGGGGGATGAATAGTGAGCCAAGGGGGAGGCTGGCAGGGACCAAACTCCAAGGTTGAAAATATTGGTGGAGAGACCATAGCTGCACTCTAGGAGTTCTGCACACAAAGCAGTGGCATGATGCCCTGTCTGTGACCACAGTGCTTCTCAAAACCTTTGTGGCCTTAATTCACTCCACTTCCCACCCCATCCCTCTCTTGAAATGCTGGGAATGGGTACACTACCTGTCTCCTCTAGCTTCTTGCCACATCAGCCAAATTTGCCCTTAGTGCCTGCTGAACTCTATTCAGGCTTCTCCCCAGGTTTACCTAAATGCCTCAAGCCCTTCCTTTTTAATAAGGCTCTTTGACCACTCCAGCCCTCACTGTTCCCATCTCCTTGCCTTCTGCAAATACTTGCGTGTACACTGGAATTGGATCTTGTTTCTCTCGTGTGTTACTTCATTTTCTTTCTTTTCTTTTTTTTTTTTTTTTCGTTTTAGAGATGGAGTCTTGCTCTGTGGCCCAGGCGGGAGTGCAGTGGCGCGATCTCGGCTCACTGCAACCCCTGCCCTCCCTGGTTCAAGCGATTCTGCTGCCTCAGCCTCCTGAGTAGCTGGGATTGCAGGCACTCGCTACCATGCCCGGCTAATTTTTTTTTTTTTTTTGTATTTTTAATGGAGACGGGGTTTCGTCATGTTGGTCAGGCTGGTCTCAAACTTCTGACCTCAAGTGATCCACCCGCCTCAACTTCCCAAAGTGTTGGGATTATAAGCGTGAGCCACCACGCCAGCCTCATGTGTTACTTCACTTTCTGCAAATATCAAACTCTGGTGACAGTGAATCCTTAGAGTGCATAGCATAAAACTTAGCATCTAGTAGGAGCATATGTATGTTTATTATTAATATAATGATTATATCTTATAGTTGTATATGGTGTTTTTACTCTTTTGCCCTAATTTGTCAAGCCTCCCAGGTTCTTACCTTGATGACATAGCGCATGTATTGTGGCCGTTTGGATTTGAGGACGATCCCTATGGTGCAAGGAATGAGAACCAGGACCAGTGATATCACGATGCCTTTATAGGGCACCTTGTCCTTCAGGTCCCCATCATAGATCCCCCTGGAGTAGATGTACAGGAGGAGAGGCATCATGCCAAGGGCACAGAAGGTGGAGCAGGTGGTCATCACAATGCTGGTGGGAGACATGGGAAGAGGGGAGAGAGAGAGAGCCCATAAATACAGACTATTTTGTTGAGTGCCTGCTAAGTGCCACTGTGCTAAGTGCTTGACATATGTGGCTTCAGTTCCTTTTCCCCATAACATTAGGCAGTAAGCATACTATCTTCTTTTCGCTGACAAGGAAGCTGGGGACTAGAAGAGTTGTGTCCTGCTCAAAGTCGCACAAGGTAGTAAGTGGCCAAGGCAGCATTTGAACTTAGGGTGGTTCAACTGCTTCAATCCCTGTGTGCTTCATTGTGGAAGGAGCCATTCTGATCTCCTTCTCTGTAATGGAACCCTTTTCGCATTGAGCACCTCCCCCATGCCAAGCCCATTTTGTAGAAAGCCAACTGTGTGATTCCATTACTCTGGTCATTAGCCCATTGGACCATGGAATGGCACCTGACCCACAGTTACTAAATGTCTGGTTTAGAGCCTAGGGAATGGCTTCTTGTAGTGACTTTGTCCAACGGAGACAATAACAATTAGCTATATCAGCACATTTTACCTCGTGGGGAGTCTGAGTGTGAGACACAGTGACAGGACACTTGGTCTTTGGGGATGGGTGGCATGGGAGTGATGCTCAGGCAGAAGTCAAAAACCCTACTAGAAAAATCAATAAACAGATACCATGATTAAAAGGACTGTAAAAGAAATAGTGAAGCAGTAAGAAACAGAATAATTGAAGGGCCATAATGGTGGGGTAGTAGAGAAGGCAGTAATAGATACCCATGTTGAGTAAGTGACAAGATAACCTGGTCAGATTTGCTTTGCATCTTGGATAGTATTCCAGTCCCCAACTCTGGTGTTCTCATGTTCTTTACTTTCTGGTTCCTCTTGATATTATTTAAAATAAATTATGACACTCAGAGCCTGAATAATATGTCCTTCCAGCTCTAATATGTATCCTACTTGTCCAATTTCCTTTTCCATTTGGAATCTTATATATGTTAGTCCCAGGACCCTGTCTAGGGAGAGGCCCTCCAGAAAGGTCAACTGAGAAGGAAGCTGATAGGGCATCTCCTTAGATTTATGGACATTTACATTAACAATATATGGCTCTGACTTTTATTCCAGTGGGAAGATGGTTGGGAGGTGAGGGCTTGGCAAGATCTTAGGAAAACCACACTCAGTGTGTCCCTCCTCCTCCCCACAGCCCTACCCTCCATCTACACTTCTTTCATTATTTCTATAAAGATGGAATATGGCTTAAATATGCATGAAGAGCAGCCTATATCAAAGGTTCCAGAGCGTAGCCATCAAGAACAATAGGTAGGCATGTCATAAGGATAAGAGCTGTTAGAGGTGAGAAGAGTCCCTCAAAGAAAATTGTGAACTAGGTAATAGGAACTCCCCCACCCCCGTGAACACTTAAATACACACTTGAGCTTGTAAGAAATTAACACTCAATTTAAGTGTGGCATAGTGGCTCATGCCTATAATTCCAGCATTTAGGGAGGCCGAGGAGGGAGGATTGCTTGAAGCCAGGAGTTTGAGACCAGCCTGGGCAACAAAGTAAGACCCCTGTCTCTACACACAAACAAATGAACAAACAAACCAAAAACCACACACAAAAATTAGCCAGGTGTGGTGGTGTGCACCAGGAGTCCCAGCTACTTGGGAGGCTGAGGCAGGAGGATGGCTTGAGCCCAGAAGGTTGAGGTTACAGTGAGCTATGTTAGCGCCACTCCACTAAAAAAAAAGGTGCCCACGGACAAGAAACAAATGCAAAGTAGTGGGGGAACTCAAGCTGAAGCTTCATAGAGGGGTTCTGGAGGGGAGTGGGGTGTTAGTCTTGGCACTGTGGAGGCTTTAATGCCCAAGGAAGGGACCAGAATTGAGGTATTAGACCTGGGATGGGAGGAGCATTGAAACTGAGCAACCAATAAAAGGATCATGGGATGAGGGGAGGGGAACTTTCTAATTATATCATCAAATATGAAATCATGGTGGAAACAGTATTTAGAATATAAAAATAATAAAATACATATTTAAAAAACATGGAGAGGGGACTTTGGATTAGGCAATGGTTTCTTAGACATCTAAAGCACGAACAGCCAAAGAAAAAGGCAAGTCAGACTTCATTAATATTAAAAACTTGTGATTCAAAGGACACCATCAAGAAAGTGAAAAGCCAACAAGAGAATGGGAGGAAATATTTGCAAGTCATATATCTGATAAGGGTCTAATATTCAGAATATATATGAAGAACTCTTTTTTTTTTTTTTTGAGATGGAGTCTTGCTCTGTCGCCCAGGCTGGAGTGCAGTGGCGCAGTCTCGGCTCACTGCAAGCTCCGCCTCCTGGGTTCACGCTATTCTTCTGTCTCAGCCTCCCGAGTAGCTGGGACTACAGGCGCCTGCCACCACGCCCGGCTAATTTTTTTTGTATTTTTAGTAGAGATGGGGTTTCACCGTGTTAGCCAGGATAGTCTCGATCTCCTGACCTCGTGATCCACCCGCCTGGGCCTCCCAAAGTGCTGGGATTACAGGCGTGAGCCACCGCGCCCGGCCAATATATGAAGAACTCTTATAATGCAATAATAAAAAACAAGTAAAAAATGGGCCAAGGATTTGAATGAGATATTTTCCCAAAGAAGATATACAAATGGCTAATGAGCACATGAAAAGATGCTCAACATCATTACTTATTAGGAAAATGCAAATCAAAACCACTTTGAGATACCACTTTATATCTACTAGCATGGCTATAATTAAAAAGCTGGACAATAACAAGTGTTGGAGGGTATATGGAAAATTAGGAATCCTCATACACTGGTGGTGGGAAGTAAAATGGTGCTTTGGAAAATAGTTTGGCAGTTTCTAGAAAATTTAAACACAGAGTCACCATATAACCCAGCAATTCTACTCTTAGGTATATATCCCAAGGGAACAGAAAGCATGTTCACACAAAAACTTGCCTGTGAGCTTCCATAGACATTATTCATACTAGGGAACAAGTAGAAACAACCCATGTGTCCATCAGCTGAATGAATGGATGAGCAAAATGTATTATATCCATACAATGGGATATTATTCAATTACAAAAACAAATGAAGTATTGTGACATGCTATCACATGAATGAACCTTGAAAATATGCTAAGTGAAAGAAGTATAGATACAAAAGGTCACATATTGAATGCTTCCATTTATGTGAAATCCATAGAGACAGAAAGATTAGTGGTTGTCAAGGGTTGGAGCAGGAGAGAGAAATGGGGACTCCTGCTAAATGGGATGGAGTTCCTTTTTGGGGTATTGAAAATGTTCTGAAATTAGATAATGGTGATAGGTTCACAGGCTTGGAATTATGCTAAAAACCAAGGCATCGTACAATTTAAAGAATGGATTTTATGGTATGTGAATTATATCTCAATAAATAGTAATTAAAAACCATGCAGGGAGCAAATAAAGCAATTATTAAAGGGCAATTTATAGCCTAACATATTTATATTGAAAAAGAAGATTAAAAATTAATGAGTTAAGCACCTTAAGAGGTTAGAATGAGAAAAACCCAATAAAAAGAAAAGGAAGAAATTTTTTAAGTTTTGTAAATTGTTAGAATCAGTAAAACCAAAAATAGGGTTTTTTTTTTTTCTTTTTTTTTTTAAAGGCCAATTAAATAGGCACCTCTGGCAAGGCAGACCAGGGAAAAGAGAGATGGCACAAATTGATGAGGTTAGTGTGAAAAAGGGAACATAACTACAGAGAAAATGAAGATTTTAAAAAGTCATTAAGGACATTTTCATACTTTCATTTTTAACTTAAATGGACAATTTCATGGGAAATATAACCTACAAAACCAAGTCAATATGAAGCCGAAAACCTGATTCAACTTAGAATCATTTAAGACATTTAATAAGCAGTTCAAAACCTATCTTCTAGAACCCTACATGATTTATACTGTCTTACGGTAGTGTTCTACTAAACATGCAAAGTGCAGATTGTTGCAATATTATGCAAATCTGTCCAGATAATATAAAAAGGGGAAACATGCCCTAATTTATTGTATAAAGTTAATATGATCTTGGAACGAAAGCTGGAGAATGATATTACGAGAAAAGAAAATTGGGGACCACTCTTATTTATGAACATAGAAACAAAAATAATAAAATATTAGCAAATAAGTGTTTTAAAAAATACAATGAACAAGATGAGTAAGAATGATTTAACATTAGATAATCTATTAATACATATTACTATATTATTAAAGAAATGGTACAATTTTGTAGCTATAGAAAAGTCAACAAAATTTAATGTTCTTACATAATAAAAATTTAGTACACTAGCAACGGAATGAAAATTCCTTAACTTGAAAGGAAATCTATTAGAAAAAGTATATTAAACGTTAAACTTAATGGTAAATAGAGGGATTTTCTTTAACAAGAGGAATAAAGCAAAGATAGTCATTATTATTACCTGTTTTATAAATTATACTATATATAGGCCCTAGTAAGCACAGCAAAACAAGAAATAGAAAAAGTATAGGGATGGGAAAAGAAGAAATGAAACTTTCTTGTTTTGCCAATGATAGGATTGTCCACAGAAGAAATCTAAGTAATTTTCCATTATAACTGGTAAGTAAGAAAATGTATGAGGTTCTAAATACATTAGCATCAGTCAGTCAATCAATTGGGTCTGATATACTAGAAACAAATATATATATATTTTAAAAGACACCATTTATGATATTCACAAAACTAGAAAATACTTATACATCTAAAGGACATGTAAGATCTTTATGAAAGAAATTACAAACCTTTATAGAAAGGTATTAAAAAAGGCCTAAGTAAAAGAAAAGCTATATCATATTTATAGATGGGAAGATTCAATATTATAAAGATAGTCTCTCAATTTATATATAAATGTAATGCACATTTAATAAAACTTCCAGACTTATAATTTTTTTTGTAGACTTGAAAGGTGATACTGAAACTCAAGTGAAAGAGTAAAAGGCTAAGAATAGCTAACATGATTTTTTTTTTTTTTGAGACAGAGTCTCGCTCTGTCACCCAGGTTGGAGTGCAGTGGTGTGATCTTGGCTCACTGCAAGCTCTGCCTCCCGGGTTCACGCCATTCTCCTGCCTCAGCCTCTCAAGTAGCTGGGACTACAGGCGCCCGCCACCACGCCCAGCTAATTTTTTGTATTTTTAGGAGAGACGGGGTTTCACCGTGTTAGCCAGGATGGTTTCGATCTCCTGACCTCGTGATCGGCCAGCCTTGACCTCCCAAAGTGCTGGGATTACAGGCGTGAGCCACTGTGCCCGGCCCATGATTTTCAAGAACAAAGTAGGGGGACTTAACTTTCAGATAACAAAACTTATAAAATTGTAATTAAGAAAGTGTGGAACTGGTACAAGGGTAGCCACATAGACCCGTAGAAGAGAAGAGAGATCCAGACACAAGCCCTGCATTTATGAGAGAGATGTCATTACAAATACCTGGAGAAAAATTCACTCAACGTGGCTTGGAATCTTCTATTTGTATGGAAAAGATAAAATTAGTTCATGCCATACATAAAAATAAGTTCTACATTGATTGGAGCTCTCCATGTGAAAATCAAACATTTAAAACTTTTCAAAGAAAATACAGGGTAATATCTTTGTAACTTTGTAGACAGTAAATTTTTTTTTTTTTTTTGAGACAGGGTGTTGCTCTGTCGCCCAGGCTGGAGTGCAGTGGCATGATTTTGGCTCACTGCAACCTCTGCCTCCTGGGTTCAAGTGATTCTCATGCCTCAGCCTCCTGAGTAGCTGGGATTACAGGTGCACATCACCATGCCCAGCTAATTTTTTTGTATTTTTTAGTAGAGACGGGGTTTTGCCATGTTGGACAGGCTTGTAGATAGTAAAAGATTTCTTAAAGAAACCCCTAAAAAACATAAACCACAAAGGAAAAATATTGGCAAATTTGACTAAATTAACATAAGCAATCTATCAGACATTATTATCAAAGTGTAAAGACCAGCTCCAAACTGTGAATAGACTGTTGCAACATATATAAAACAATAACTTTAGAAATTAATTTTCAAAACCCACCCAAACCACAATCCCATAGAAAAACAGGCAAAGGACCCAATGTTTCCAGAAGAGGACACATGAATGGCCAACGCACACGTGGAAATGTGGTAGGCCTCCCATGAAATCAAATTTAAAACTACTGCGATCTGCTTCACTGTTTTCATTTGGAAAAAATTAAAAAGTCTGACAATTCCAAATATAGATGAAGGCACAGAGAAACAGGGATCTTCAGACACTGCTAGGGAACGTGTGAAGTGAACAATGACCTTGGAGACCTCTTAAAGATGTGTGACTCCCACGACCCAGCAGTCCTGCTTCAATTGCATATGCCCTCATGTGGGCAGAGGGACACACACAAGTCTGTTCACAGAAGCGAGACGTAAAATCCACATGAATCTGACAACAGGAGAATGGATAAATGCAAGCAAACTGCACAGCAGTTCAGATACATGAGGTAGCTATTTTCTTTACATGCCTATTTCTCAAAAAAAAAAAAAAAAAGCAAGCTGTTAGGTGATGTGGACAGTATAATACTGTTCGTACAAAATTAAAAGACGTAAATCCCGCAGTCTATCTTGTTTATGAATATATACGTATATAATAGTTGAAAAGGGTCGGTGGAAATGCTGAACACCAAATTCCCAGGGATGCTCCCTTTGGCAAGTGGTGGAGGGTAATGAGATTGGGAATAGGAATACAGGGGGTTTCAATGCTACTGTTGATCTTCTCTTAGGGAAAAGCCAAACACAACTTGTGTGTTTGTTCTGGTGACCTAGAGCAGAGGAATCATGCTTACTTTGGCTTGTGTGTCAGGAGTTTTGGAGTTTGGACTTGGTGTGCCTTGTCAGCTTGGGTATGCAGGAGCCATGTTCCCTGATCCCCAGGTACTTCCTCCACTTGCACAGGTCCTGGGGTCAGGTCAGGGACATCCATCTCCTAGCCTGCTGGCATCCGTGACTGTTGTGATCCTTGGTTTACCCCAAGGGACAGGGACGGGCAAGGACTTTTTCAGACTCTAGATTCCTGAGATTGTAGGCCTGGTTGCCTTTCAGGGGGAAAGGGGCACATTTGTTTTTTTTATTTTTCCCTCCTGCTTAAGTTCCAAGAGCACAGCATAGACCTTGCTTTTGGACATCTGTGTACCCCATTTAAGGGACTCGTTCGAGTGTCCGTCAATGCACAGATTGGAGGCAGAAGCTGAGGGAGCTGTGAGGGGCCTCAACACAGTCTCTATGAAGTGGAAAACTTCTGGGACCCCAGTGGCTTCCATCTTGTCCTGGTTGAGCTTCCTACATCATGGCTGGGAGACCTGTGGAAGTGCTTGGGTTGTGTCCAAGCCCATTGTCCCCATGGCCATTGGCTCTGGGCTCTGCTGTGAGTCCGATGGTGGCAGGGGGAGCAGATGAACTTGGGGCAGCAAGGATGGTCAAAAGAGGCCAGTTCCTGCTGGCATAGCACTCTCTTCTCTGTGCCTGACAAGCCATACTCACTTCAACTGTGAGGGCGTTTTCTCTTGCCTGTTTGTCACCTACATTTTTTGAAACTTGTCTAGTGGCCTTCCTTGAGGAGGGAGCTGCCGTCCCTGGCTGCATTGAGGGGTCTGCTTGGTGGCCTGGCCTCCTGGGATGGCAGGCTGTCCCCAGACTGACTCCACCTATGAGGCAGAGTGAGTGGAGGGAGACACAGTTTCCCACAAACTCTGGGAAACCTCTGGCAAGTCTCTGACCTCAGCCTCTTCATGTGTAAAATGGGATCTGTGTCTTACAATTCCTTCCAGTTCTAAATGGGATGTAGAGTATTGTGCTTATCTCAAACTGGGGCCTTTGGGCTACAGCTGGCCCTTTGACATGTATTGTTTGGTTTGCACATTTAAAAAAATGGAATGAGTTGCTGATTTCACATAAAATGGATATTTTACCTTCTTTTGAAAAGTGGGAAGCTCTGGCTCCCACACAATACTTGCTGCTGAGACACGGGTGTCTGCCCATGCCTTTGAGGCTGTCTGGCCATTTTGTTTGTGGAAATGCTGACCTGGAAGATATTTCAGTAAAAGCACAGGTTCCGGAGCCACCCAGACCTGGAGCCAATGTATTGACCTCTCTAAGATTCAGTTTCCTTACCTCTAAATGCTACTTGTTACATGCTGTCCCCCAGGGTGCTGTAGGAGGATCACATATACTTATCCAGGTAAGGTGTTTAGCACTGTGCCTGGCTGTTTCTTATAATCGTTGTCATTATTATAATGCATGTAACAAGTTGTCCCAAATTGGAATGGGATTTGAAGTCTGGCAGCACATGAAGGTAGATGACCAGATTCCCATTCCGACAGTGGGATCTGAGACATGGTTTAATGTGCATGGGAGGGTTGTTTGTTGGGAAGGAGTTTTATGGCAGAAGGTGGCTGTCCCAGCAGAGCTTATCTCTTGTGGGGGTCTAGGTAAAAATGACAGTCATCAGGGGTCTGGACAAGGAGGTTGAGCAGGAGAGCATGAGGGGTCATGTTCTTGAGTCACCAGAGGCTCTGCCTGGGTGGGGCCTAGAGCCACAGCAATGTAGGCATTGTGGCAGAGGCCTCAATAGTGGCCACTGGCGATGGGGCTGGGACATCTGGCCACTCACACTTAAAAGCACAGTTGCCTTCCACGTCCCCTGCTCTGCTTCTTCCACAGAAACACAAAGCCCTCAGAGTACCCCTTCGCAGGCCCCTGACTTCTGCATCCCTCATACACCAAAATTCAGATATACTCTAGGATTCTTGGGACACACAGGCTGCCATGAGCCTTGTCCAGAAGCCAGATCCAAGACCAAGGGCTTGCTTTGTAGCAGAGAGGATGTGGATTAGACAGAGGAAAGCATTTTCTCACAGTGAGGTAGTTGAACATTGAAATACCTTTCCGTGGGTGATGGCACAAGCCAAATGCCCTCTTTGTGCCTCTCTTCCCATTGACTACTAAAGTGAGGGCTGAATCATATGGAAAAAGAGCCCAGAGCTTCTCAGATGGCAGATCCTGTTAAACCCCAACTCTCATTCACTCTCACTTTTTTATTTCCTTTTTTTTTTTTTTTTTGAGAGAGAGACAGGGTCTCACTCTGTTGCCCAGGCTGGAGTGCAGTGGTGTGATCATGACTCACTGTAGCCTTGAACTCGTAGGCTCAAAGATCCTCTCATCTCAGCCTCCCAAGTAGCTGGGACTACAGGCATGTGCCACTATGCCTGGCTAATTAAATATATATGTATATATTTGTAGACACAGGGTTTTGCTATGTTGCCCAGGTTGGTCTTAAACTCCTGGTCTCAAGTGATCTTCCTGCCTTGGCCTCCCAAAGTGCTGGGATTATAGGTGTGAGCCACCGTGCCCAGCCATTCTCACTTTTTTCATTTAAAAAATCTGTCCCAGTGTCATTTTGCATCACTAGGAGGGGCTTCTTGACTGGGTTAGTTTTCCTAGGAAAGTTTGGCTAGGAGTAGGGTGCTGACAGACACAAGCAGATGGACTTTCTGGGTTCTGCTGCTATACCTGGCATTGAATAGCGTCTCCACGGAGGACTAAACCAGGGGGGACTGGCTTGAGACTGAGGTTTCACTGAAAGCAAGAGCTTCTGCTAGTGAGTTTTCTTTAGCTTCAGCACAGGCTGCTGGAGCTGGAGCAGGTCTGAAGTAGCTCCTCTGGCAGATGTTCAAGACTAGAGTCTCCCCAGTTTGGAAGGATGAGCATCAACCAGCCCCTGTGTGCTGCGTCTCCAGGAGCGAGCCCTTGCTGATTTCTGCTTATAATGCTTTGGGCAGGGGGTTAGGGGGTGCTGCTGTCTTCCCCTTATCAGGGTGGCTGAGATGGGGCTGGCCTATCTGGAGTGGGTGCTGGGAAACTCTAGGATCTCCCTGGTTGTGCCTTTGCATGGAAATGTCATTGCATCTGATGGGGAATGAGGGACTTTAAAGAGAAAACATCTTAGATGACCAGGTAATTGGGAGGACCTTTTGGAAATTCTTGCCCGCTTTGCAGGAATTTGAGGTGCTCATTTGGTTCCAAGTCACCTTGATCTCCCTGATGATGTTTGGAACGAATCACACTACCTTTTAAATCTCTGGGCTCAAAGCAGGCAACTTGTCCACTGTTGTAGGTGGATGCAGTTCTCCAGAGGTTCCTTTGGCTTTAATCAGTGCTCCTTTAAGACAATCCTTGAGACACCTCTGGAAGCAAGGAGATCACCACGAGCTTCCTGGACCAGTATGGTCCCTTTGGCTTGGTGCCTAAACCAGACGTACCCCAACTCCTGCCCCCATCCCAGCATAAGCTCTTGGCAATAAATGCCAGACTTCCCCTGCCCTAGCCTCCACCCAGCCTGCATTCACTCCTTTTCCTGGCTTTAGCCCAGCTCTTCCCCTCAATTGTGACATATCTAATGTAGCTCCTGTCCCAGGCTGTTCCCTCCTCACCCCCAGGCCTACCTGAGGTTCATGTCCCCCTTCATGGCCAGACTGAAGACATTGGACAGGTTCCCTCCAGGTGAGCAGCCACAGACCAAGATGGCCAGTGCCTCAATGTTCTTCAGCCGGAAGACCTTGCCCAGCACAAAGGCCGTGAGGGGCATGATGCCATACTGTGCCACCAGGGCGATGGCCAGCCCTTTAGGCTTCCATAAGTGAGCCTTGATCTTGCTGAACTCCATGGTGCAGCCCAGCGAGAGCATGATGAAGAACAACATGAACACCAGGATGACGCTCAGTGCCAGGTCTGTGGGGCGCTTGCCAAAGTTGGGTGGCAGGGTGAAGTTGAATGGGGCAGACGCGTTGTGGGCCTCCATCCTCCTGTGAGGCAGTGGAAGACCACTCCTTGTTCTCCGGCTGACTCCGTTTCTTGTGCAGTTCTTGCTGGATGCCTTCTTTAATCACCTCTCAGGACAGAGAGTTTCTGGACAAAAGCTCTGGGCAAATAGAAGGGTTATGCAACTATCTGAGCTATTTCTCTGGCTGTCGCCCCAAAGAGGAACAGCCCAGAACCTTATCTGCCTGCCCTAGCTCTCCCAAGCTCCCTGACCTCTGCTGGATTCCTGGGTGCTACTTGTACTCCTCCCTTGTCACTTTGCTGCTTCTGGGCTTATTTCTCCCCTTTGCCCTCCACTGAGTGTGCCTCATGGGCATTCATTCAGTTACTGGGGACCTGCCCAGGGCCCACCTGAATCTAGGTCCAGCCCATCTCCTTCCCTGCAGCTCCTTTTCCCAGCTCCGCTCTTGATTCCTTAGTTTCTTGGTTGGGGGAAGGTGCCCTCCCCATGTCCAGTGGGTTATCATTTGTCCCCAGAACCCATGAGAGTGAAAGGAGCTGGGTGTTGCCTTTGGTTCCTAGATACAGGTAGCATAGTCCAAGGGGGTGTGGGACAGGCAATGTCACTGGCCTCCAGGAGGGGATGTGTCCATGACCCTTTTCCTGGGAGCTGAGAGGATGCCAGTATCCTCCCTGCCTGTTCTGGGGAAATGTTTGTTTTATCCCCAAACTGGGACTGTATGAGTCCCAGGGAGGAATACTGGTGGTGGCTGCTCCACACTACCTGGAATGCTTACCATCAGAGGGAATAACCAGCTGGGATGGTGGGTGGGCTCTCAGGAAGCTTGGAGGCTCTTTCCCCGAAAAGCAACCTGAGAGAACCCTGGCTGTGGAGATTGCTTTGTGCCCGAGGAGGCCCATTGCTTGCAAAACTTGCTGAGAAGGAAGCAGGAATGCAGTCTTTTCTTCCTGACTTCCTGATTGCTTTACTTTTGCACTGGGCCTGTGTGTTTCAGGCTGGGAGCCAGGCTTGGGGCGTGGAGCAGAAGCAGAGAGAGGTGGGCATGCCAGGGGCGGGGCCACCTAGTGTGTGAGGTTATCCTAGGCCTTGCTCTTTCCATCTATCCCCACTGCAGAGGTGGGACAAGGGAGGAGGGGTCTCCTTCAGAAACACAATTGCTTCTTGGCTTGGTTGGAACCTAGGAGGCCTGGGTGGGGTCTGAAACAGGTGATTAGGCTTTGTATGTAGGACTCCAGAGGGCAGAATAGGGACCAGGGTGTGAACCACTGTTGGGTGGAGGTGGGGACAGATTTTGGCTTGGTGCAAGGAACCACCTGAAAATGAGAGCTCTCCAAGAATGGCCTTGAGGCCTCTGGAATCCTGCTTGGATAAGGGTTGGATGGCAGGATCCATACATATTGCATCATATCCATGAAAAGGCTGCTCCCTGGGCTTGCGCGGTGGGCAGCCTGCGGGGCCGTATACTGTGGCCCTGGGTGACATGAACTTGAAGCCTCTTTTCCTTTGAGAGTCTCTGCTAATGATTTCCTGGTGCTTGAGTTGGGCTGGTATCAAAGGGAGGGCAGGCAGAGGACTGGGCACTGGATGTGATGCCTGGACTGAGCGTTCCCACAGGGTAGGGTTGAGTCTCAGAGGAGGCTGCTTCCTCTCCCTGGGGCTAATCAGAAGGGAACAGAGTTGCTAGGGGAGAATTATTGATCACTAACTGAGTACCAGGCACCATGGGAGGCAAAAAAAATAAAAATAAATAAATAAAAAAAACTATATAATTCATGTTCCTGTTCTCAGGGACCTGATGGTCTGTACAAGACCACAGATGGCCAGATGGTACACAATGCAATATGGAAGCACGTGAGGGTGGAGGCCATGCAGGGCTGCCAGGTACACCTGTTCAGGTTGGGCACTACACAATGCTAGGGACGCCACTCTACAGATGTCTTGTGCAACCGTACATGAGGCCTTGAAGTCAAAGGGAGACGTTAGGTTTTTACACATTTGCCTGATGCCAAAGGGTGAGGAGGAATTGACCAATATCTGTTAAAGATCAGGGTCTGGGCATGTGTCTATTGTGCACATCCAAAGAGAAGAAGAGTTCCTATGAACACATTTGTAACCTGGATTCTAAACCACGTAGTCTCTATCAACTCTTCCTCCTCACCTCTTCTCAGGAACCCAAAATCCTTCCACCTCCTACTGTGAGTTTTTCCCTTTGAGAAAACAGTTTCTTGCCCTGGCTGCCCCTCCTCCCACTCCTTCCCATTCCCTCTGTTCCTAGCAATGTGACTTTGCAGAGAATGGAAAAATCTCTTCCAGGAACCTGACACCCTCCATTCTTTTCCCCATATCCCCTCAGAATCTACTCTAATTTAATACAATTTTGGAAACAGGAAGATCTTTTTGTGTTATGTTAATGATACCTGAGAGTTGTTGAGCACATGCTGTGTGATGGATGCTGTGATTTAAATTACATTTCTTTTTAACTTTTATTTTAGATTTAGGGGTACATGTACAGGTTTGTTGTTACAGACAAACTTGTGTTATGGGGGTTTGGTGCACGGACCACTTTGTCACCCAGGTACTAAACATAGTACCTGATAGTTCTGATAGTTATTTTTCCTGATTCTCTCCCTTCTTCCACCCTCCTCCCTCAAGTAGGCCCCAGTGTCTGTTGTTCCCTTCTTCGTGCCCATTAGTTCTCATTATTTAACTCCCACTTATCAGTGGGAACATGCAGTATTTGGTTTTCTGTTCCTGCATTAGTTTGCTAAGAATATTGGCCTCCAGCTCCATCTGTGTTCCTGCAGAGAACATGATCTCATTCTTTTTTACGGCTGTATAGATTCCATGATGTATATGTACCACATTTTCTTTATCCAGCCTACTGTTGATGGGCATTTAGGTTGATTCTATGTCTTTGCTATTGTGAATAGTGCTGCAATGAACACACGTGTGCATGTGTCTTTATGGTAGAATGACTTATATTCCTTTGGGTATATACCCAGTAATGAGATTGCTGAGTTGAATGGTAGTTCTGTTTTTAGTTCTTTGAAAAATTGCCACACTATTTTCCACAATGGTTTAACTAATTTACCCTCCCACCAGCAGTGTATAAGTGTTCCCTTTACCTTGAATGTAAATGGGCTAAATGCCCCAAATAAAAGGCACAGAGTGGCAAGCTGGATAAAGAAGCAAGGCCGAACAGCATGCTGTCTTCAAGAGACCCATTTAACATGCAATGACACCCATAGGCTTAAAATAAAGGGATGGAGAAAAATCTACCAAGCAAATGGAAATCAGAAAAAAGCAGGGGTTGCAATCCTAATTTTAGACGAAGCAGACTATAAGCCAACAAAGATGAAAAAAGACAAAGAAGGGCATTACATCATGGTGAAGGGTTCAAATCAACAAAAAGGCCTAACTGTCCTAAATATAGATGCACCAACCGCAGGAGTACCCAGATTCATAAAGCAAGTTCTTTTTAAAAAATAAATAATTGAAATTTATTTTTTATAATTCTGGAGGCTGGAAAGTCTAAGATCAAGGTGCTGGCAGATTCAGTATCTGATGAGGGCTGCTCTCTGCAGATAATGCCTTGTTGCTGCATCCTCCAGAGGGGGTGAATGCATAAAGCAAGTTCTGAGAGACCCATGAAGAGACTTAGACTCCCACACAATAACAGAGGGAGACTTCAACACCCCACTGACAGTATTAGACAGATCATCAAGGCAAGACGAATCATCAAAGCAAAGATACTCAGGACCTGAACTCAACACTTGACTGAATGGACCTAGTAGACATCTATAGAACTCTCCACCCCAAAACAACAGAATATACATTCTTCTCATTGCCACATGGCACATTCACTAAAATCAACCAAAGAATTGGACATAAAGCAATTCATAGCCAATGCAAAAAACAAAAATAAAATTATACCAATCACACCCTTGGACAACAAAGCAATAAAAATAGAATTGAGTACAAAGAAAATTGCTCAAAACCATACATTTACATGGAAATTAAACAGCCTCCTCGTGAATGACTTTTGGGCAAATAAATTAAGGGAGAAATCAATAAGTTATTTGAAACTAATGAGAACAAAGATACAGCATACCAGAATCTCTGGGATACAGCTAAGGCAGTGTTAAGAGGGAAATGTATAGCACTAAATGCCCACGTTTTTATTTAGTCTTCACAATAGCCTTATGAGATAAGATGCTATTGCTATCCTTATTTTATAGGTTAGGAAAAGGCTTAGAGTGGTTAAATAATCTGCCCAATTTGCATGGCTAGTGAGTGGTACAATTGGTATTCATGCCCAGCCTGGTTCCGGGCCCCAGCTGCTCTTCTGACCTGCTCCTTCTTTTGCCTCATCCTGTCTCCCGAGTTAGCCTGCTTTTTGAGACCTGAAAGCTTTGACTGGAAAAGATCCTGTGATTGCATATTTTTTCCAAACTGGCCTAGACTTGTTCTTTCACAGGCTGGATGTAGCAAGCAACACAACAAACACAACATCCAAACAATCATGGGGGGGTAGTGGTGGCTGTGTAAATTTTACTTAAGGGACATTTTAATTTCATCTCTGGCAAAAGTCAGCTATTTTCCCAGATTCTGAAGTGGCATAAAAAGCCTTCAGTCAGCCATTGCTCTTGACAGTAGAATTCTACTTGTAGAAAATTATCCTATAGAGATAATTGCTTGAGGATCTACGTAAAGAGATTTTCACTGCAGCATTGCTTTGTAATAGTGAACTATTGGAAATAACCTAAATATCTATTAGTAGGTGATTGGTTATGGCCCATTTAAAAGAATGTAGCCATTAAAAAATATGGTAGTGACTTATGGTATAAATGTGGCTGTAGAGGCTGGACATGGTGGCTCATGCCTGTAATCCCAGCACTTTGGGAGGCTGAGGCAGGAGGATTGCTTGAGTCCAGGAGTTCCAGACCAGCCTGGGCAACATAATAAGACCTAGTCTCTACACAGAATAAAAAATTAGCGAGGTGTGGTGGCAGGCACCTATATCCCCAGCTACTTAAAAGGCTGAGGCAAGAGGATCGCTTGAGCCTAGGAGTTTGAGAGGTCAGGGCTGCAGTGAGCTATGATTGCGCACTGCACTCTAGGCTGGGCGACAGAGTGAACCTTGAGGCTAAAAAGAAAAAGAAAAAAAGGGCTGGATGGCTGGGCTCGGGCTCATGCCTGTAATTCCAGCATTTTGAGAGGCTGAGGTGGGAGGATCACACAAGCTCAGGAGTTTGAAACCAGCCTGGGCAACATAGTGAGGGCTTGTCCCTACAAAAAATAATTTTAAAAATTAGCTGTGTGTGGTGGTGCATGCTTGTAGTCCTAGCTACTTGGGAGGCTGAGATTGGAGGATTGCTTGAGCCCAGGAGATGGAGGCTGCAGTGAGCTGTGATTGCACCACTGCATCCAGCCTGGGTGACGGAGCAAGACCCTGTCTAAAACAAACAAATCAGAAAGAAAGAAAGAGGCTATTTCTCCCTTCCTTTTCTAGAAATCATTCAAAAGCAACAAGGAAAATGGGGAAAAATTCCATAGACAATAATTTTTTGGTGAAACGGGGACACATACCATTTGCAGACTCCAGAATGCGTGAAAAGGCTGCCGGTGTCACCATTAGGCAGCACTCACTAGGGAGAAAGAGAATGCAGAGGGGGTGGATGTCAGGAAGCTCTAGGAATATGTATACCTCCTGCAGGTGGAGGATGCAACCTCAAGTGCAAAAGAGATCTCCTTCCTTTGTAACAACAGCTATGGGAATTGGGTGAGCAAGGCTGACAGCAGAAGCCATCTTATACCCCGCTCAGGTTCATACAGCCCGTAGAAGCGGACGTTTTAGCTATCCATTGCTGTATAACAAACCACCCCCAAATTTGGTGATTTTAAACATTTATTTGTTATTCTCTTTCACAGTTCTGGGATATGACAGGTTCAGCTGATGGCTTTTGCTTGGGGTCCTCATATGGTTGCTGAGGATAAGTCATCTGCATCGTGATCTCAGAGTAGTCAGACTTCTTATCTGGTAGCTGATGGCCCCAGAGCAATTGCTCCACGAGGCTTAAGTCAAAGCTGCAAGGCATCTTATGACCTAGTATGGAAGGCCTACAATGTCACTTTCAGCACATTATATTTTGTCAAGCAATTTACTAAGAGTGTCCCAGATTTGAGGGATGGGAGAAATAGACTCCACCTCTAAATGGGAAGAGTAGCAAAGAATTTATGACCATCATTAACTGTCCACATGGGGCTATACAAAAAATCAAATGGATGAGCAGTAGTTGTATGAAGCAGTCTGTGTCTATGGCTGATGGTGGTGGAGGGAAGCCAGCTATCCTAAAAGGATACCTTGTCCCGCCCCCCAACAGAGCCTCATGCAAATAACTTGCCCACTCAATAATGAGTGACACATAGCATCAAATTAAATCCACTATAAGGTGAAGGAGGAAAAAAGAGTGTCAAACATTTCCAACAATTGAAGAATACTTACCAGAAAAAATTGACATAGAGCAGCTGAAAAAAGCATTAGGCAATTGAATTTTAAAAAGTGAATGCAGTAATTGCTTCTATGAAGAAAGACCACAAAACAGAAATACATTAACAGATTTTTTTTTTAATTACCATTTTGCAACCCCTAATATAGCAATTGGTTTAGGTAGGGATCATCAATAGATGTGAAAACCCTTGAGTAAAAGGCAATTGGGGAATAATATATTCATGGTGATAAAGTATCACCACATGGAGTAATTATAGAGGGAAGATATGTACCTTTACATTGGAGAAACCTAGCAGTTACCCATTTTAACCAAGTGGTCAAACTTGGAATTACTGATATCAAGACAGCCTAAACTCATGTGCCTCCTGATGGAATGCAATATGAAATTCACAACATCATTACAGGCAAAATGTTTAATCTGAATTTTATCAAGTCTTTGGACCTAGCTGGCAATTTATCAGAAATACAAATGCTAGATAAACAAATGAAATATAAAGAAACAACCTGACAAATCTAGTCTATGGGATATTTTATAAAACAACTGGCATGGATTCTCTTTTTTTTTTTTCACATGTAGGGAGGACACAAGTTTTGTGCCCCTTGTCACAATGACCCCAGATTCCTGTTTGGTGTATTGTAAACAGAGGAGCCACTCTTCAACCTCCCTGCCCTAAGCAAACCCTGGCATATACTCTTAAAGAAGTAAATGTCATAACAAAAGTTGGAGATCTAGTCTAGATTAAAAGAGAATAAAGGCTGGGCGCAGTGGCTCATGCCTGTAATCCCAGCACTTTGGGAGGCCGAGGCTGATGGATCATGAGGTCAAGAGATTGAGACCATCCTGGCCAACATAGTGAAACCTCATATCTACTAAAAATACAAAAATTAGCTGGACGTTCTGGCATGCACCTGTAGTCCCAGCTACTTGGGAGGCTGAGGCAGGAGAATTGCTTGAACCCGGGAGGTGGAGGTTGAAGTAAGCTGAGATCTCTTCACTGCACTCCAGCCTGGTGACAGAGCCAGACTCCATCTCCAAAAAAAAAAAAAAAAAAAAAAAAGAGAATAAAGAGACATAACAAGCAAATGCAATGTATAATTGGATACTGGGTTGGAATAGTATTTAAAAACATTTTTTGAGGTAATTGGGGAAATTTGAGTATAGATTATATATTAGATGATATTATAAAGTTATTGTTAAATTAGTATGGTTGCTATGGTCTGACTGCTTGTGCCCCCCTAAGATTCATATGTTGAAACCTAATCACCAATGTGATGGGAGGTGGGGTTGTTGGGAGGTGATTAGGTCATGGGGGCAGAGCTCTCATGAATGGGTTTTGTGGCCTTATAAAAAAGGACCCATAGAGCTGCCTTGCCCCCTCCACCATCTAAGGGCACAGCAAGAAGGTACCATCTGTGAACCAGAAAGTAGGCCTTCGACAGACACTGAATCGTGGGTGTCTTGATTTTGGACTTCCCAGCCTCTGGAACTGTGAGAAATAATTTTCTGTTGTTTACAAGCTACCCTGTCTATGGTAATTTATTCTAGCAATTCAAATGGTCTAAGATAGGGGTTATATAGTGGAATGTTTTTATTTTAGGAGGTGCAGACTAAAGTTTTTGTGGTTGAAGTGTTCTGATGTCTACAATCTATTTAAAAATGATTTGGAAAAATGCATGTATGTATTGTTTGTGAGTATAGAGACAGTGAAAGCACATAGAGCAAAATAATAATAATTGGTGAATCTATATGAAGTATATGATATATGGCTGCTCATTGTATTATTCTTTCAACATGTCTGTAGCTCTGCAAGTTTTCCAAATGAAAAGTTGAAAGGAAAAAGAACATAGGGATGAGATTGTGAGATAACAGAATGAGATGAAGCATGGGTGGGCAGAACTCAGATCAAAGTATCAGAGAAATAAGGATGAAATGGAAGGGGTGCAAATAATAGGCAATTAAAAAAACCACAGCAAGGGACAAAAATATAATTTTCTGAAATAGAGACATTAATTTATATTATGTATCAGAGAAAATTAATGCAGGAGAGCCAACCTAGAGATGTGTCCTAGTAAAGTTATTAAACTTCAAAGATAACTAAGCAAAATGATCAAGTCACTGAGGGGCGGGGGAAGCAGGCTTGTTTCCGAGTTCCGTGCAGCAATATTCAATGTCAGAAGAAAGTCATGCAATACTTAAAAAAGATGTCCAAGGGAAAAAAAAGTGTTACACATGGAGTTCAAATCCAGCCAAATTATCCTTCAACCATAAAGACTACAGATATCCTCGATCATAAAATAATTCAGGGGATGTCGATTCTTTGAATCTTTCTTGAAGAAACAATCAGAGGATGGATGCCAGCCAACAAAGAGATAACTGAGGACATTATAGAAAAAAGACTGGAGGCAACTTTGAATATATGTAATGTAGACTAAAGCAAAAATAATTCCACACTTTAGAGTAATTGAAAATAATGTAAAAATGACATGTCCTGACAATGTATAAATACATGCACTGAACAAATACTCGTGGAGGAAGGGGGAAAGTAGGTGAGAGGTAGATTAAGGTAACTGATTGTTACATCTGTAATAAGTGGGAGTCAAAAAATATTACTCAAGACTGACAAACCAAGTAATAGAAGCATACACATTTTTAATAGTACAAAATGAAACTCAGAGAAAGATGTTCTCTTTGGTAGGAGAGAGGAGGAAGAGAGGAAGAGGAAATGTGCTTTTTTTTTCATTGTTCCTAGGCACTAATAGACATTTCTTGAATAATAGAAAACTAGAGGTATTTTTTAAAAGTTTTATTATAAAAGTAACAGAGCAAAAATGAAAACCTATTGAAATTTGAAAATAATTATTCACAGCAACAAAGACAACAGACTACATAGTGAATGTTTTTAAAAAACTAAACAAAAATAGAACATAATGTTACTATGTTAGAACTAACGCTAATTTATTTGACATATGAATAGATGTTGAAATAGGCTTAACTCACCTATTAAAATAAACAATATTTCAGAGTATTCTTAGGCAACACCCACCTTCATGCTGAGCTCAAGCAAGTGAGCACCTACAATAAGTGTTTTCAGAAAGGTTGAAAATAGGCCAGGTGCAGTGGCTCATGCCTGTAATCCCAGCACTTTGGGAGGCCGAGGTGAGTGGATCACTTGAGGTCAGGAGTTTGAGACCAGCCTGGGCAATATGGTGAAACCCCATCTCTACTAAAAATAAAAAAATTTTCCAGGCATGGTGACACATGCTTGTAATCCCAGCTACTCAGGAGGCTTCGAAGCAGAAGAATTGCTTGAACCCGGGAGGCAGAGGTTGCAGTGAGCTGGGATTGCGCCATTGCACTCCAGCCTGGGTGACAGAGCGAGACTTCATCTTAAAAAAAAAAAAAAGGTTGAAAATAAAAGTACATACAAAGATAGGTGAGGCAAATGCAAAACAAAACAAAAGACAAACAAAAGAAAGCCCAGGTCATAATTTTAATATCACACTAGATGGAGATGAAGAAAGTCACTTTAAGGTGGGGTGCTGTGGCTCATGCTCGTAATCCCAGTGCTTTGGAAGGCTGATGTGAGAGGGTCACTCCAGCCCAGGAGTTCAAGACCCACCTAGGTAACATAGACCCTGTCTCTACAAAACATTAAAAAAAAAAATTAGCCAGGAGTAGTGTTGCATAACTGTAGTCCCAGCTATTCAGGAGGCTGAGCTGGGAGGATCACTTGAGCCAGGGAGGCTGAGGCTGCAGTGAGCAGTGATAGAGCTACTATACTCTAGCCTGGGTGATAGAGCCAGACTCTGCCTCAAAAAAAAAAAAAAAAAAAAGAAAGAAAGTCACTTTATAATACTTAAGGATGGAATCCACAATGAATACAACAGTTCTGAATATCTATGTACCAAATAGCAAAGCACAACATTCATAAAGCTAAAATTATAAGAGATACAGGGGGTAAAAACAGACAAACAAATGGTAGGAAACTTTAATTCACCCATCACAGTCAATGATGGATCAACTGAAAAAAAATAATTAGGATATAGAAAAAACCTAAATATCATATTTAGAAAAGCAGATACAGGTTTACAATATCTTTTCCAAAACTCTCTATAGTTTTTCAAAGTGTGGAAAGCTGATATAGTACATATACTGAATATTATGTAATATCTTAATTGGGGTTCATAATGAAACACATTGATATTTTCTGCAGTGAACCATATGATGCGGGAAGCAAAAACCATAACTAGTCTTACATCAGTTTAGAACAGAGTTTGCTGTCAAAAGGAGTTACAAAAAAAAGTTTAGAAATCAGAACATTTTGGATTTAGGATATTTCAGAGTTGGGAAGGTGACTCTGTGTTGGGCTCCACATAAGGAAAAATTTCAACCTAGAACTGTCTAAAAAAGAAATGAAGTCCCTTGGAAGTGCCTGCCACTGGGGCTCAGGTGGGTGGGAGACATTCAAGCAGAGATGACCATTTTTTCAGGCGACTCAAGTACCAAGTAGAGAGTTGGACAAGGAGACTACCAAGTTATTTTCTCACCTGGGATTCTAGGGTTAGACTAGCTGGAAAGTGGTGGGTTAGAGAAGGGGGATGAGCAGAATGGGTTCATACAATCCTATGCGTTGTCTCTTAGGTATCTGTCAAAATTAAAGCAAAATGGTACTGATCCAGTGTTCCAGCATGTGGTTGGGAAATGCGTATACAAGCTACTAACTCAGTGAAGATGGCAGACAAGTTGCTTTTTACAAGCTCTTAGAGGATGGATCCCATTCCAAAGTAGGCGTAAAATATGCTGAAAAGTGGCTGGGCGCGGTGGCTCATGCCTGTAATCTCAGAAATTTGGGAGGCTGAGGAGGGTGGATCACCTGAGGTCAGGAGTTCGAGACCAGCCTGGTCAACATAGTGAAACCATGTCTCTACTAAAAATACAAAAATTAGCTGGGTGTGGTGGCACATGCCTGTAATCCCAACTACTCGGGAGGCTGAGGCAGAAGAATCACTTGAACCTGGGAGGCGGAGGTTGTAGTGAGCTGAGATTATGTTATTGCCCTTCAGCCTGGGCAACAAGAACAAAACCCCGTCTCAAAAAAAAAAAAAAAAGTGCTGAAAGGTAGGGTAGCAAGTGGGGCTTTGAAGGGACAGCAAGCTTGTCCCCTCACTTCCTATGGCTGAAGCAGCAATATCACTCAGTGAGTACTTCTGAACTCTCTCTGTGCCATCAAGCACATTTGTAAATTTCTGAATTTGGTGCTGCATAGCTGGGGGCCACAGCAGGTTTAGGCGGTCAGTGAATACTGACAATAGAGAGCTTGGCCCATTTCTGAGAGCTGATAGGTCAGGTGGATGCTGGCGAGAAAAGGCAGTGGCAAGTGGAGGGCATTAGGCCTTTCTTGGGCCATAATTGGCTGATTTGATGATTATGAGCGAGGACTGGGGAATGGGGAAGGTCATTGCTGCTGGCTGCCGCTACCTGCCACGTGTCAGTGATGTTTTCTGGGTGCATGGGTTTCCTGACCCTTGTTGGGTTGCTTTACTGCTTTTTAAAACTTCCAAAGGACTCACCCTGCCTTCTTGGGAACAACTATCAGTGTTTGATGACTTTTGCTGAGGGAGCTCTTTCAATTATCTTCCTGGAATCACGCCAGTTGTGATTACTGCCACACTCTCTATGGTTCCACCACTCAGCCTGGAAAATGGTGAGGCTGGTGGAGTGGAGGTCAGCTACCCTCTGAAGCACTTCTTTCCCCCTTGCAACTTTAAGCAAACATTCCATGGCCAGAAGGGAGCAAAGTCTGTAGGAGGGCAGAGAGCAGCAGGACTCACCCGGTCAGAAGTCCTTTAAAACATTGATTTCTCTTCAGCTTGAACAAAACAATATGAGTTGCATTATGGAGGAGGCAGAAAATGAAGATAAGCACAAAAAAGAAAACAAAAATCTCACCACGCAGAGATAAGTGCTATTCATGGTTTAGTCTGACTGTTTACAACTGGGTTCCTAGATGTCCTGGGGTTCTATGGAGGTGCTTCTAAGACGCCTTAAATACTTAGAATTTAACCAAAGAATGGCCGGGTGCAGTGGCTCATGCCTGTAATCTCAGCACTTTGGGAGGCCGAAGCAGGTGGATCACCTGAGGCCAGAAGTTCGAGACCAGCCTAGCCAACATGGTGAAACTCCATTTCTACTGTAAATACAAAAAAAAAAAAAAAAAAAAAAAGGCCAGGCGCGGTGGCTCATGCCTGTAATCCCAGCACTTTGGGAGGCCGAGGCAGGTGGATCACGAAATCAGGAAATCGAGACCATCCTGGCTAACATGGTGAAACCCCATCTCTACCAAAAAAAAAAAAAAAAAAAAAAAAGCCGGGCCTAGTGGCCAGTGCCTGCAGTCCCAGCTACTCAGGAGGCTGAGGCAGGAGAATGGCATGAACCCGGGAGGCGGAGGTTGCAGTGAGCCGAGATCGCGCCACTGCACTCCAGCCTGCGTGATAGAGTGAGACTCCATTAAAAAAAAAAAATTAATCAAAGTAGAAAATATTTTGACCACATAAAAATGGCAATAACCAAAAAAATAACAGCAACCTTGGGGCAAACAGCAGTCTTATGGAGACCACCAGCATGTGATCGTGTGTGTCTCTGCCAGCCTCAGCCCAGCTCCTCCTGCTGTCCCTGGGTGGTTATTTGCACTTGTCATGAATGTGCCTTGGTTGGAAGGCTGGAGCCCTGCAGACCCACAGGTCTATCAGAGGGCTCAGGGCCTTACCTTCTGTATGTTCACCTCATGAGGAAATCGTGGGGTGTGTAAGAAGTGAATTTGTAACACATCGTGGTGTGATTCCATTGTATTATGGATCACTTTAGCACCTGTCTTTTATTTTTATTATTGAGGTATGGTAAATACCTCTTAATAGAAATACATTTCAGTAAGTGGCAGGATACAGAATGCTGAGTACTAACCTTCCCCACCCCAAGCCCACAATATCCTGTAACCTGTGGCCCCTCAGCTACCTGGCTGGGAAGTTCCCTCATGCCTTTAGAGGAGGATTTCAGAAATGTGGAGAGAAGGAAGCATGAGGATACTCAGCTTTTTCATTGAAACTGAAAGCAGAGGAAAGTACTGATAGCTTTCAAGACCAGAATCTAGGCCAGGTGTGGTGGCTCATGCCTGCAATCCCAGCACTTTGGGAGGCCAAGGCAGGAGGACTGCTTGAGATCAGGAGTTTGAAATTAGCCTGGGCAACATAAGGAGACCCCATCTTTACAAAACAATGAAGAATTAGCTGGGCTTGGTGGCGTGTGCCTATTGTTCCAGCTACTTGGGAGGCTGAGGCAGGAGGATCCCTTGAACCCAGGAGGTGGGGGCTACAGTGAGCCATGATGGCACCACTACACTCCATCCTTGGCAACAGAGTGAGACTCTGTCTCAAAACAACAACAACAACAACAACAAAAACAAAGACCAGAATCTAAACAGTTGTCTAAACAGCAAAAGAAGAGCTGGGTTGGGGAAGGGAAGAGAATCAGAGGGAAAGCTGGAGAGAAACAAAGTTCCTGCACCCTGACCTACTATCCCACCCAAGGTCACAATCCTGGGTTGGAGACAGTCACCAGAATAAATGTGGGGACTCTGAGGCCAGAGAAGACCTGTGCTCCTTCCCAAGCATGGCCTGGGGAAGTTGGCTGAGATCCTGGAGTACCCTGTCTGGTCAGCTGTCATTGTGTCTGACGACTGCTGGATGGAGCATTGGGGCAGAGAGGCCACAAGTTGGCAAAGTCCTCCTCCTTGAGACTCCCGTGGCTCAATAGGTACAGGGAGCCAAAGGCCCGTGGGACGTGACCAACTCAGCATTCCACTGAGTCTATATGATCAAACAGCAAACTGTTTATCATGAATACAGAATGTGGGCAAACTCACGACCGCGCCTGCCCCAGAAGGTTTGCTGAGGGCAATCACTTCCTGGCGCCAAGCTCCTTGAGGTTATCTACTGGGACATCTAGAGAATGCAGTCTTGTGAGACTACTCTGGACGAGCAGCTGACCCCTTCTTCCACCCCCCTTCTCACTATCTCTTTTGCCTAATAAATACGGAGGGCTGTGTAAAGGTCAGGGCCCTTGTCCACTAGAGGCAAGGTGCCCCCTGACCCCTTCTTCCAAATATACGCTTTTGTCTTTTATTCCTGCATTCGCCCGCTTTGTTCAGTCCCCCTAGGTCCATGTGGGTTACATAGTGGCGCCGCAGAACAGGGACTTCAAGGACGTAAACGAAGAAGGTCTGCTGGAGCAGAGGAACTGAAATTGAGAAGGTGAACGGGGACCCCAGGCCGAGTCTGCCGACAGGGATATAAGGTCGGTGCCCTAAAGAGGTACTGGGAGCAGTGCTTTAAAGAAGTACTAGGAATGGGAAGTTTTCTGAATCAGGGTAACATGAGTCAGAATTTGTCTGTTGGAGAAAAACATTATGTGCAGTTGCTTAAAGTTTTGTTGAAACAAACTGGTGCTCAGGTCAGTTCTCAGACATTAAGATGCTGCCGGAGGTTATTACGCATAACCCATGGTTTCCACAGGCACTCTTGATGTGGAAAATTGGGATAGAGCAGAAGGATTAAAACAGGCTCATCAAAAAGGTTTTAAAGTTGATTCTTCAGTTTTTTCCACTCAGAGTTCAGTTCGTACTGTACTTCTGCCATTATCTCATTATTATGCGGGGTAGCAGGCTGAATCTAAAAATCTGAAAGAATCTGTTGTCCCACCCACAGATCCAATTGAAAATAAAAGACAGGAGAGGGAGAATAAAAATTGGCCTATACCACCTCCTCCAGTTGCAGAAACATCTGTACTGCCTCCTTTGGTGGCAAAAATAGAGACCCCCCAATACAGAGAATTTATGCTCTGCTGTCATAGCCGGAGAGCCCTTAGGACCTTGTGCTTTTCCTATTTCCGTAACGCCTGATCCAAATAATCCGCAGCAGGTTATTCACGAACACACTCCACTAGAGTTTAAGTTGTTAAAGGAATTAAAAGCGAGTGTGGTAAATAATGGCATACAGAGCCCATTCACTTTAGGATTGCTAGAATCAGTGTTTGGTGTCATACATCTTTTACCCTTTGATGTGAAACACTTGGCGCGAACTTGCTTGTCTGCGAGTGCATAGCTGATGTGTAATTTCAATTGGCAAGAAAAGTGTGCAGAGCAGGCTAGACAGAACTGTGCTGCTGGAAACGGAGACATTACAGAGGATATGCTATTGGGTAATGGCCCTTATTCAGACCTGGAACGTCAAATGGCACTCCCAGACGCTGCTTATCAGCAGTGCGCATAGGCCACTAAATGCACTTGGGCCACAATTCCTGAAGAGGGAGTCCCAGTACAATCCTTTTTACATATCATGCAAGGGTCATAGGAACCCTATGCACAGTTTCTTTCAAGATTACAAGACGCAGTGAAGCGTCAGATTCCTCATACCATGGCTGCAGAAATGCTAACCTTAACTCTAGCTTTTGAGAATGCAAACACGGATTATAAAAGTGCACTGGCACCTGTGAGATGTACAAAAAACTTGGGAAATTTTCTCAGAGCTTGTCAAGATGCAGGAACTGAGCTTCATCGCTCTTCAATGTTAGCTGAAGCAATGGCTAATTTAGTAGTTGACAAATCTAAAAGGAGCCAAGGGTCAAGCTCTAAAATGGGAAAATGTTATAATTGTGGAAAAACTGGACATTTAAAAAAGGAATGCCACCAGATCTCAGGACAGAAAGGATCTTACAATGCAGTTCCCCCATCAGCGGAAAAAACGCCAGGACTTTGTCCTCGCTGTAACAAAGGAAATCACTGGGCTAATCACTGCTGCTCAAAATTTCATCGGAATGGCACCCCCCTGTCGGGAAATGAGATGGGGGCCTGGACTTGGGTCCCACAAACAGTGAGGGCATTCCCAGTCCAGACCTTAACCCCGTTTTAGGCATGGGTTCCTGGAGGCACATTGATTCCATCACCCCAGGAACACCAGGAAGTGCAGGATTAGATCTACCTGCCAGAGAAAGAATCACATTAGTTGGGGGAGACAAACCCATCAAAGTTCCCACTGGTATTTGGGGAACTTCACCAGCAGGATACATGGGACTAATTTTAGGCAAAAGCCGCCTTAACTTGCAAGGCATGACTGTAGTCCCAGGAGCTGTTGACTCTGATTATGAAGGAGAAACTCAAGTAGTTTTAATGTCACAAGATCTTTGGGTTTTTGAACTGGGAGAATATATTGCTCAATTATTGCTTATTCCCTGCAAATTACACCCTTCTCCATGAAAGGAGAAACGAGGAAATAAAGGGTTTGGGAGCACAACTACATGGGAAATCTATCTATCCCGACCCATAGCCTCTAATAGACCCACCTGTGTAGTACAAATTAAAGGAAAGAAATTTTATGGGCTTATGGATACGGGAACTGATGTATCAGTAATATCTAAAGACAATTGGCCCACATCCTGGCTCTTGCAATTAACTTCTACATCCCTAGTGGAAGTAGGAACAGCTCAAAGTGTTCAACAGAGTGCTGAGATTTTACCTTGTCTTGGTCCGGATGGGCAGTCATGTACTTTTCAGCCTTATGTTGCAAATATAGCTATCAGTTTATGGGGCTGAGACTTACTTACAGCATGGGAGATGAGACTTACAAATGAAAACTTTGATAACCCAGGATTTAAAATGTTGAAGGACATGGATATCAGAGTGAAAAAGGTTTAGGGAAATTCCTACAGGAAAATCCTAACCTGATATCAGTAACTGGCAAAACAGATAGAAAAAGGCTAGGAAATCAGGATTTCTGACAGAGGTCATTGATATTTCTCCCCTGCCCACTGCCTTACCATTAGAATGGCTTAGTGACAAACCTGTGCGGGTGGATCAATGGCCCCTAACACAGGAGAAGCTAGATACCTCTGGTGCTTCAGCGCAATGCTGAGAGCTAATTACAGTCATTCAGGTTTTACAGCTCACAGCTTCAGATCCTATCAACATTGTCTGTAATTCAGCTTATGTTGTAAACGTAGCCAGTCACATTCACATGGAAACTGCTACAGTTAAAAGTACACTAGACCCAGAACTGCTTAATTTGTTTCACTTATTCTCAAATGCTGCATGCTACATGCCAAACAGGTGAGACAGCTGGTCATGTACAGTGACATTGTCTGTCATCATTTGCTCATATGGGGATACTTAAACAATTAAAAACTGACAATGGACTCGCTTATACTAGTCATGCTTTTCAAAATTTCTTATAGCTTTGGGCTATAACCCATAAAATAGGAATTCCTTATAATCCTAAAGGACAAGGCATTGTAGAGCAGGCACATTGAACATTACAACACATGTTGAAAAGACGAAAGGGGTATAGGAGGCCAACTACCACCTCAATCAAAACTACATTTAGCCTTATTTACTTCACATTTTTGGACTCCTGGTACAGATGGTAAGACTCCAGCAGAAAGACATTGGCAAGTGTTAGAGGAAAAGAGGAAAGTTTATCTGAAAGCATTATGGAAATCCCTGGAAGGACAATGGAAAGGTCGGGTGGATTTACTGACGTGGAGAAGAGGGTATGCTTGTGTTTTCACAGGAGATGGACAAGCCGTGTGGGTGCCCTCAAGGTGTGTGCAACCATGGAATGGGAGACTGGAGGAACCCAGGGTGGCCAACCATGGGTCCGGTCCCTCTGGTGTGAGCCATGAGCCAGCTGAGCCTGAGTGCGAAGACGGAGAGAAGGCCGACCACAGTCATGACATCAACCCCCATAACCTGGGGACAACTCAAGAAAACCACACAGGAGGCTGAGAAACTACTGGAGCACCAGGGACAGTCTGTAAAGTTGGATGGACCATCAATGGGAAAATGAGAGCTGCCCACCCTGGCCTTACACTCCTTCAATTAATACATAAACAGAAAGGAGGATATACAGAGAGCCAAAGGCCCATGGGACGTGACCAACATTCCACTGAGTCTATACGATCAAACAGCAAACTGTTTATCATGAATACAGAATGTGGGCAAACTCATGACTGTGCCTGCCCCAGAAGGTTTGCTGAGGGCAATTGCTTCCTGACGCCAAGCTCCTTGAGGTTATCTATTGGGACATCCAGAGAATGCAGTCTTGCAAGCCTACTCTGGACCGAGCAGCTGACCCCCTCTTCCACTTCCCTTCACACTATCTCTTTTGCCTAATAAATACGGAAGGCTGTGTACAAGGTCAGGTCCCTTGTCCACTAGAGGCAAGGTGCTTCCTGACCCTTCTTCCAAATATACTCTTTTGTCTTTGTCTTTTATTCCCGCATTTGCCTCCTTTGTTCAGTTCCCCTAGGTCCTTGCAGGTTACAAATGGGCAAGCAACTGGCTGGTTTGGAAGGGACTTCTGGGCTGGGATAAGAAGAAGCATAGTGCAGGACTCAGGAATGGGATTAGGGAAGGAGTGTTCTGGGCGGAGGGAACAAGTGGAGCGGGCCTGGTTTGGGGCTCATTTGGCTGAAGGGGCAGAGGAAAAGTTAAGGAGGAAGGGGCACGCTGGTCGGTGTAGGCTGTGGAGGGGACTGCTGATTGTGATTGTATTCTCAGAGTGGTGGGGGCCATTGAACATTTTAAAGAGGGCAGCAACATGATCATTCATTCTGGCTGCTTTGTGGGAAATGCCTTCCAGGGATTAAGAGTGGAAGAAGGAAGATGACGACAATCCAGACCAGAGATGAAGGTGGCTTGAGGGCGGCTTGGCCACGGCTGTGCTGTCCCACATGGAAGCCATTGGCCAATTAGCTATGAGCACTTGGAATGTGGCTGGTCTGAATGGAGATGTGCTGTGAGTGTAAAATACAGACTGAATTTTAAAGGCTTAGTACAGAAACAAGAACATCAGATATCACACGGATAATTTTTAAAACTATTGATTACACGTGGAAATAACACTGTATTTTGACCACCACGCTGTATGGGGTTAAATATTTTATTAAAATTCATCTTGCTTGCTTCATTTTACTTTAAAATCTGTCATCTAGAAAATCTACAGTTAGATACATGGCTTGTGTTTGTAGCTTGTGTGATATTTCCAGTGGACAGCAGTGGACTAGAGTGCGAGCAGTGCGTGGCAAGAAAGGCTTGGATCTGTGTTGATCCTGAAATAGAGCTGAGGAGAGCATCAGGGGTAAAGGAGGGAGAGCTGAGCCATGGGTTTATCGGTTTTCCAGGAATGAGGGATCCTGGGGAAGAAACACGTCTGGGGAGAGGCCATTCATGAATAAAATGTGCAAATGTTGAGCGGTCCCTTCATCATCCAGGTGGAGATGTGGAGTATGGGGCTGGACTTTAGAGGCAGTCAGGATGCACAATGGAAGTCATCAGCGTTTGGGTGGCATTTATAGCGCTGGGACTGCAGGAGATGATCTGGAAGTGAACATGAAGACGGAAGAGAAGAGGACTGAAGTCAGAACCCTGAGGTGCTTCAGCATTTAGAGTTGGGGAAAAGGAAGAAGATGCAAAGGAGACTGGTAAAGAATGACTAGTGAGGCCACAGAAACCCAGAAGAGTGTGGTGTCAAAACGCCCTGAAAAACCACCTGGAGGACCGGACCTAAGTGGCTGCTGCCCCCTGGAAGCAGGTCCCCCGCGGGGAGGGGGAAAGGAAGGGCTGCACTGCAATGCTTGGTTCCTTATCCTGAGCTCACCCTTCCCATCAGTCACTACACAGCAGCAGAGAGGAGGGACCTGGGCCTGGAGAGTTCCACAGAAGCCAGGGGCATGGAGATGGCCCCCACATGCCTGCTGCCTTCGCCTTTCTCTTCCAAGAATCCAGAGTGGCTGAATTGGTTCAACCCTCATAACCGATAATTCTCCTGCACTTGAATCTTACTCTCTCCAGTCTATTCTACCACACAGAATGGGACATGGAATCTCTCAAAGCCCAGCTCTGCCCTTCTCTGTCTCTCTGCCTCCTTGTCTCTCTCTCTGTCTCTCTCTCTTACTTACACACACACACACACGCACACTCACACACACCCCATTTAGCAGCCGTCAGTGTGAAATGGATTAAAATCCAAGTTCTTTTTTTTGAGACGGAGTCTCGCTCTGTCCCCCAGGCTGGAGTGCAGTGGCGTGATCTCGGCTCACTGCAACCTCTGCCTCCTGGGTTCACGCCATTCTCCTGCCTCAGCCTCCCGAGTAGCTGGGATTATGGGCTCCCGCCAACATGCCCGGCTAATTTTTTGTATTTTTACATGTTAGCCAGGATGGTCTCGATCTCCGCCCGTCTCGGCCTCCCAAAGTGCTGGGATTACAGGCGTGAGCTACCGCGCCCGGCCTAAAATCCAAATTCTTTAGCAAGACGTCCAAGGGCTTCCCTGATCTGACCCCGATCAGAATCCTTCCTGTCCTGGGGGGGCCCACCTCTCCTTGGAGGAGAGTGTTCTCTTCCTCCTTAAAGGTTTGCCACATTTGTGTGTGCTCCATGAAGGTGCTTGGTAAACATCTGGAAACCCTCAGGACACCTTCCATAGGCCCTTCTGTTCCTTGTTTCCCTGCCATGGCTTCCCCACCGGAGGATAAGCTTCTGGAAGACAGGAGCAGAGACGTGAGTGGGTGGATCGGCAGGGCAACTCTCTGGGCACCCAGTTGCACGACAGCTTTCAGGTTTCGGACTAGTTTTGGCAGTGTTATCAATAAGTGGTGACTTGTTATCCACATTTAAAATTCTTAAATTTGCCTCTCAAAAAATCGCCCAATTTAAAAAATTGCAAAAGAGAACAGAAGAGAAAAGAAAAATTACAAGAAAGTTGGAAACATTTTGCTGACAAAAAATTTTTGAGACCTTTTGGACATTGCTTTATATCTACATGCTTGTAAATGAGCTTCTTTGGTTAAGTGTGAATGATTAAAGCTTTACATGGGTACATGTAGGAAATTCCTTATTTAAGCATAAGGGATTACATGATTTTTGTTTTATTAGAGAATCCCTTCTCCAGCCAAACAAATGTTAAAGAGATTTGAAGGGGCCCCAAGTTATCATCCGCTGCCCAGAAGCCCTCATGTCTCCATCTGATTCTATAAAGGAGTGTGGGTTGGTCAGTCTTTACATTTCCTGTAACTCTTAGAACGCTGTTAAATAAGTGATGCTTTACACGTGGTAGGGCACTTGCTGTGTTCACCGGAATCAAACTAACGGACAAAATTTCAGCTGCACTTATAAATTCTACCACCAGAGGGCAGTAAGTCATCACTGATGGGATTGCCCTGCTGTCCCTTAGGTGCAGGGCAATCCCGTCAGCGGTGTTTGGGGAGGCGGGGAGGGGGGTGCGGAGTGCAGATGCGGGGGAAGGAAGGGATAAGGAAGATGTTTTCATATGGATAATCCTTTGTGGAAGCCGGAAAAACCTGCCAGAGGGATAACTCAGCTTGACCTGATTCACAGCTTCTTAAAGCACTGTGTATAAACACAACTTTCGTATTGATTTTTCTATACATCCAAATTTCCCCTTGATCTTTCAACCACAGTAGTTCTGAAATAATATACACTTCTCTTGCTTATGTGGTTCAGATCTTCTCTTCCCAATTCCAAGACTTCTAATTGGTTCATAAAGCAACATTTAAGAATACGAAGTCCACTTCCTTCCCCATTTAATAAAGGAACACCTATAGTGCCTTCTGAAGGCCTGCTATGTGCCAGGCACTTTACATATCAAGTCCTTTTTATTTATCAAAACAACCCTGTGAAACAGTTACCATTAACCCCATTTTACAAATGGGAAAACGGAGGCACAGAGAGATAAAATCATTGGTCCCAGAACAAGCCAGTGGCAGAGTGAGGATGTGAACCCAAATCTGCTGGCCTGCCCACTCATGCATGTATCCCAGTTTTTCTCCACCTCAGCCCTATTGCCGCTTTGGGCTGGATAGTTCTTTTTTGGGGGCAAGGACTGTGGGCTGTGTATTGCAGGATGTTTAGCAGCGCTATCGGCTTCTACCCCCTTGATATCAGTAGCACTCTTTCCCCTAGTTGCAACAACCAAAAATGTCTCTAGACATTGCCACAAGGCCCCTGGGTAGCAAACCGTCATCGGGGAGAACCGCTGATGTGGAAAAGCCTTGGC
This sequence comes from Homo sapiens, assembly GCF_000001405.40. Classification (NCBI taxonomy): domain Eukaryota; kingdom Metazoa; phylum Chordata; class Mammalia; order Primates; family Hominidae; genus Homo; species Homo sapiens. The sequence continues at coordinate 69,819,771 of NC_000014.9, forward strand.
TGGGCTTCCGGATGCAGCAGACCAGTGTTGCCTTACAGCAGGAAGCCAGGGCTCTGTCCAGGCGCTGGCCTTCCAAGTGTCCCGCTCCAGCTGTCTTCCAGTTGCTGCTCTCTTAGAATGAGGCATCCACAGTACCTACCTGCTGCACTTCCACTTTTCTGCACCATATTCTATTTTCCAGGGCCTCCCTGGGCTTGTTGCTGGTTCTCCTGGCTGCTGGAGTGTGCACCTCTACCCCTGGAGTGTGCCCAGTGTGTCTAGCCAGTGGGGAGGGCGGTAGGCAGAGCTGGACATGGGAACTAGGTTATCTGGATACAGAAGTGCATGCAAGGCCCCTCTGCTGGAGGATGCTGTTAGAGGTGGGAAGAGAAGGGTGATGGGCTGTGGGCCAGGGTCTCCATTTGTATCTTGACTAGTTCAGGGTGGGCCTGCTTCAGACCCCTGCGGCTGGGGTAGTTGGGGGAGATGTGCTTGTAGGTGATACATTTGTGACACCCCAGTTTGAAGACCTCAGAATCACCGTGTCTGCCGACACAGAAAGGCTGTTAGGGCTCCAGGCTGTCTCCTGAATTATGTTTCTTTAGGGAAGTTTTCACCATGTTTACTGCTCACTTGGTGGTCATTTCCTACCTACAAAAGTCACTCTTTTTCTCCTGGAAAAGCAGACAGGAGTCAAACTAACAAAGGCATATGGAGAAGAGGGGCTCAGCCAGGCTCTCTTACCCACTGAGGAACCCTCACTCATGACAGCCTTCCAGTGGAGAAGCAGTCGAAATCATGGCTTGTAGCCCCCGCAATGGAAATAGCTTTATTTTTATTAGAGGAAATCATTGAAATGACTTACAGGCATACTTGACTACAAGTAATAGAGGTGTGGAAATGTTTTAACTCATTTGCAAATACTTGAAGTACAAAATTTACTCAGAATTCTCATTAATGGGTATTTATTTATTTTTAATTTTATTATTATTATACTTGTTTTAGGGTACATGTGCACAACGTGCAGGTTTGTTACATATGTATACATGTGCCATGTTGGTGTGCTGCACCCATTAATGGGTATTTATAATGTTGCTTTCAATCATTTAAACACAATAAATAATACATATCTGTCAACAGAGGACTGGTTATAAATTTATAGCACATCCGCATGCTGGAACCCAAGGCAACCATTACAGCCAGCAGCAAACTTAAAAAGATGAGGCACACTGGGTGTGGTGATGCACGTCTGTGTATCAGGTACTAGAGAGGCTGAGGTGGAGAATCCTTGAGCCCAGGAGTTCAAGTCCAGCCTGGGCAACATAGCAAGACCCTGACTCAAAAAAACAAAAATGAGAAAAAAAGATGAGCCAAGAGTAATTTATTCACATGACAAGTATATTCTGAGCCTATGGTATGTGTTAGTGCTGAGTAAAACCCTGGATAATAAAAACATGCTTTGACTTGCAAAGATATCCATCATAGAACATTAAGTTTAAAAAGCGAGATCACAGCATACATAATACAATCACATATATGCTATCATATATTTATACAGAGGTAACAGTAACCATTTACTAAATGCTAAGATTCACTGCACACCAAATATTAGGCTAAGCATGCATGTATGATAATTTTATTTAATCTTCACATCTATGAGGTAGGTTTTTTTTTTTCTTTTCTTTTTTTTTTTCTTCTGAGATGGAGTCTTGCTGTGTCACCCAGGCTGGAGTGAGTGGCACCACCTCAGCTCACTGCAACCTCTGCTTCCCACGTTCAATCGATTCGCCTGCCTCAGCCTCCCGAGTAGCTGGGATTACAGGCATGCACCACCATACCTGGCTAATTTTTGTATTTTTAGTAGAGACAGGGTTTCACCATGTTGGCCAGGCTGGTCTTGAACTCTTGACCTCAAGTGATCTGCCCACCTCTGCCTCCCAAAGTGCTGGGATTACAGGTGTGAGCCACTGTGCCTGGCATGGTTTTAAATACTTATAAGTGCATACATCTCACCTATTTCTTGCTAAATTTAATCCTTGCTATTTCATAGCTTTAGCTTTGTTTGCTGCTTCAAAGTGGAACCCCTCCCCTCAGTTTTCTAACTGGATTTTCCTTTCTTTGTCACAGTATTTGTATTAGTCAGAGTTCTTCTCTAGAGGAATGGAACTTATTTTGTATATATATATGGGAGTTTATTAAGTATTAACTTATACAATCACAAGGTCCCACAATAGGCTGTCTGCAAGCTGAGGAGAAAGGAGAGCCAGTCCGAGTCTCAAAACTGAAGAACTTGGAGTCTGATGTTTGAGGGCAGGAAGCATCCAGCATAGGAGAAAGATGTAGGCTGGGAGGCTAGGCCAGTGTCGGCTTTTCACACTCTTCTGCCTGCTTATATTCACTGACAGCTGATTAGATTGTGCCCACCAGATTAAGGGTGAGTCTGCCTTCCCTAGCCCACTGACTCAAATGTTAATCTCCTTTGGCAACACCTTCACAGACATGCCCAGGATTACTACTTTGCATACTTCAATCCAATCAAGTTGATACTCAGTATTAACACCACAAGTTCACCCCTTGTCAACATGAACCCATACACATCTCCTGAGATCATACATAATCTTCAAATAAAGACAAGAGTAAGGTCATAATTATGCCTAACATAATACAACTATCTTTCACACAACTGGAAACGCACCAATCCGCAACCCAAATACTATTACATAAAGTTTACTACTTAAATGCTGATGTGAAGTCAATAAATCTTATGTCACATGATAAAGGAAAAGAGAAATAAAATGAAGATATTTTCTTAGTGCAGGTGTACACATGCACCAACATGTTTTTAACAAAAGAAGGAGGAAATACTCATGACAATTACAGTCCTCGTTTCTATAGCTGATCACATGGTCGTAGCTGGTATTGATGACTACCTTCCTCTACTACCCATTCTGTGCTCCCTTTGCCTTCAGCAAGCGCCTCAGCAGGTCGTGGTTTTTTTCCCTGGTGGAGTGACCCAAACGTTCATTCCTGAAGGGTCTAGGTCATTTGTAGTCCTGCCGGGATTGGGCTGTTGTAGTTTCCCATTGACCTGAATCACAGGGCATGGTAATACTAAGAGACGCTCTAATGGATCTTCTGTATTCCATGCCTACCCTTTCTTACCTCTGTTATGGATTAGTAGACTAATTTCATCTTGATAGTCCAGGTCAATCAGCCCAGCCACCTGGTGAGGACAAATTTCTGCCCTTTCTATGATGGAAGAGGTCCAATATAGTTAACTTGCCACCAGGTAGCTGGCTGATCACCCCGAGGAATGGTTATTGAGGGTTCAGTGTTGGTCTCTGCTGCTGGCAAATTAGGCACTCAGCAGTGGCCGTAGCCATGTCAGCCTTGGTGAGTGGAAGTCCATGTTGCTGAGCCCATGTGTAACCTCCATCCCTGCCACCATGGCCACTTTGTTCATGGGACCTTTGGGCAATGACAGGGCTGGCTGGGGAAAGAGGCTGAGTGGTGTCCACAGAACGGGTCATCCTATTCACTTGATTATTAAAATCCTCCTCTGTTGAGGTCACCCGTTGGTGAGCAAGTGCTCACCAACATGGGATACAAATATCTTCACAGTTTTTGACCACTCAGGTCCGTCCACATACCTCTTTCCCAAATTTCTTAGTCACTAATTTTCCAATCGTGCTTCTTCCAAGTCCCTGACCATCTAGCAAAACCATTGGCTGCAGCCCATGAATCAGTATATAATTGCACATCTGGCCATTTCTCCTTCCATGCAAAGTGCACAACCAGGTGCACTGCTCGAAGTTCTGCCCACTGAGAATATTTGCTTTCACCTCTGTCCTTCAGGGATGTCCTAGAAAGGGGCTGTAGTGCTGCAGCTGTCCACTTTTGGGTGGCGCCTGCATGTCGTACAGAACCATCTGTGAACCAGGCCCTAGTCTTCTGTTTCTCTGTCAACTGATCATAGGGAACTCTCCATTAGGCCATGAATGCAGGCTGGGGGAGAGAAGGCAGGGTGGCAGGAGTGGAGTCCATGGGTTTTTGAGTCACTTCCTCATGTAACTTACTTGTGCCTTCAGGACCTGTTTGAGCCTGATCAAGTATATACGACTTCCATTGGATGATGGGATGCTGCTGTGCACGACCCACTTTATGTCTAGATGGGTCAGAAAGCACCCAGTTCATGATAGGCAGTTCAGGTCGCATGGTGACTTGACCCATAGTCAAACGTTCGGTTTCCACCAAAGCCCAGTAACAGGCCAAGAGCTGTCTCTCAAAAGGAAAGTAGTTATCTGCAGAAGATGGCAGGGCCTTGCTCCCAAATCCTAGAAGCCTCCACTGTGATTCACCTATGGGGGCCAGCATCATTATCTGCCACTGACACCTCAAGCACCATTGGATCTGCTGGGTCATATAGCCCAAGTGGCAGAGCAGCTTGCACAGCAGACTGGGCCTGTTGCAGCGCCTTGTCCTGTTCTGGTTCTCGCTCAAAACTGGCAGCCTTTCGGGTCACTCGATAAATGGGCCAGAGTAACACACCCGAATGAGAATGTCTTGCTTCCAAAATCCAAATAGTCCCACTAGGCATTGTTCCTCTTTCTTGGTTGTAGGAGGAGCCAAATACAGCAACTTATCTTTCCCCTTAGAAGGAATATCTCGACAGGCTCCACACCACTTGACCTCTAGAAATTTTACTGAGGTAGAAGGTCCCTGAATTTTAGTCAGATTTATTTCCCATTCTCTGGCACGCAAATGTCTCACCAATAAGTCCAGTGTGTTTGCTACTTCTTGCTCACTGGAGCCAATCAGCATAATGTCATTAATGTAATGGACCAGTGTGATATCTTGCAGAAGCAAAAAGTAATCAAGTTCTCTCCAAATAAGATTATGACACAAAGCCAAAGAGTTGATATACCCCTGAGGTAGGACAGTAAAGGTATATTGCTGGTCTTGCCAGCTGAAGGCAAATTGCTTCTGGTGGGCCTTATGGACAGAAATGGAGAAAAAGGCATTTGCCAAGTCCATGGCTGCATACTAGGTACCAGGAGACGTATTAATTTGCTCAAGCAATGAAACCACATCTGATACAGCAGCTGCAACTGGAGTCACCACTTGGCTTAGCTTATGATAATCCACTGTCATTCTCCAAGATCCATCTGTCTTCTGCACAGGCCAAATGGAAGAGTTGAATGGGGATGTGGCGGGAATCACCACCTCTGCATCTTTCAAGTCGTTGGTGGTGGCACTAATCTCTGCAGTTCCTCCAGGAATGTGATATTGTTTTTGATTTACTATTTTTCTAGGTAGAGACAGCTCTAATGGCTTCCATTTGGCCTTTCCCACCATAATAGCTCTCACCCTACCAGTCAGGGAGCCAATGTGGGGGTTCTGCCAGCTGCTAAGTATGTCTGTGCCAATTACGCATTCTGGCACTGGGGAAATGACCATAGGATGAGTCTGGGGACCCACTGGACCCACTGTAAGTTGGACCTGAGCTAAAACACCATTAATTACCTGACCTCCATAAGCCCCTACTTTAACTGGAGGACCACAATGATGTTTTGGGTCCCCTGGAATCAATGTCAGCTCAGAGCTAGTGTCCAGTAGTCCCCGAAATGTCTGATCATTTCCCTTTCTCCAATGCACAGTTACCCTGGTAAAAGGCTGGATTTGGAGGTCTCCTTGGGGAAGGATGGGAGAAAGATTCACTGCATAAATTGTTGGTAATGTAGTGGGGTCCTTCTTCCAGGGAACCCAGTCTCCCTTTCATTCAAGTGTTTCTGGGTATGTAAACTGGCTCAAGTCTGGAAATTGATTGAGGGGTTGTGATTCTCTGTTTTTATAATTCAAATTAGTCTTTTGTCCATTCAATCTAGTTTTCTCATTATATAAATTAAGTAGGAATTCAGTAGGCTTCCTGTCAATTTCACTTCTACGAACACAGTGATTAATCAGCCAATGACAGAGCTCTACACGAGTCAGACTATTTTGATTGCTGCTTTGTCTCTGCTCTCCATTACGGTAGCTATGCCCACCTAGCCTTTGATGGTTGAGTGCTGCCACTTGGCCCCTGCTACCTCGGGATCCAATTATTCCCATTGTATTTAAATTTCATAGTTGAGTGACTGCAGTTCCCACTGTTACATTTGACATGCAGAGAAGAGCAATTACAGGGCTCTTCAAAGATGCAGGTGCTGCCCTCACAAGTCTATTTCACAAGGCATTAGTTAAGGGTATATCTTCTGGATCCTCCCAACTGGGATGAGTAGGTCTAAAGGGACTAATCCAGTCCACCATCCCAATCTCCCTAAGCCTTTGGATTCCTTCCTGTACATTAAGCCAAGGAAGATCAGGCATTTCCAGCTCACTCACAGTGGGCCATCTTTTAATCTATATTTCAGCTAACCAAGCAAATAAACTATTAGAACCTTTTTTTTTTAAACTCCCTGAGCTGCAACATTAAAAGTGAGTCCCTACTTATTGGGCCCAAATCAATACATTCAGCCTGATCCGACTCTGTGTTCCTTCCACCATTATCCTATGCCCTTAATATCCATTCCCATGCCTATTCTCCAGATTTCTGTTTATATAAATTAGAAAACTCAAACAGTTCTTTCTGAGTGTAGCGCACCCCCTCATGGGTCACACTCTCAACCTCACCTCTAGGGGTCCGCCGGGACTTTAGTTACAGGTCTAGAAGCAAACAGGGGTGTTGGGGGTGGCTCCTGAGGAGAATCAACATTATTTTTCCTGGCAACTGCCTCAGGGGAGGCCATCACTGTTGCCTCCGGAAGGGCAGGGTTTATCTCCTCAGACAAAGGTGGAAAGGCTGATGGCAGCATGGGTCCGGGTGGGGATGTTGCCACTACTGGGGATGGGGAAGCTGTTGCTTCTGGCAAAAAAGTTTCCTCAGAGTTCACAAACTCGGTGTCCCCAGCTTCACCAAGATCCTCCCACACATCCCCATTCCAAGTTGCAGGGTCTCATTCTTTTCTAATTGGTGCCCTCACTTTAACAGTAGACAGCTGACAAGGCTGTGTATGCAACTTTCATTGCAGGTCAGCCATTTGCGTGATAAGAGCTTGTCTCTGTTTTTCCACAATTTCACTTCTTTCTCTACAGCAGATAAGACTCTCACTCAGGGTAATCTTAGCAGATTTTAGACGTGGTATCTGCTTCTGAAGCTGGGAGACAGAATCTCTGAGTTCATCATTTTCTTTAATCACTTTGTCCACTGAACTTAGAAGCAACCAACTAGCTTCATTATGTTCCTTTGTTCTCCACATATGGTCAAAGTTATTATGTATAGGGTCACTAAACTTCTTGCCTCTCGTGAGCGGTGAATCAGGAGAGTCCAGTGCATTTATTTTGCATAACTCTTTAAATGGTTTACACCAAGGACTATCAGTGCTCTCCATACTATTAGAAGTAGAGTCCTTAGCATTTTTGAGTCTAATCATATTAAGCAGCCAACTCCAGAAACCCCCAAACCAACAAAAGAACTCCATTCTTAATATTCTGTTCCTCTAGAAGCACTCCTGGTGCCAAAATCTGTATTAGTCAGGGTTCTCTAGAGGGACAGAACTAATAGAATATATATATATATATATATATATATATATATATATATATGTAATAGAATATACATATACATATATGTGTGTGTATATATATGTATAGGTATATGTATATATATAGGAGTTTATTACATGATCACAAGGTTCCACAATAGGCTGTCTGCAATCTGAGGGGCAAGGAGAGCCCATGTGAGTCCCAAAACTGAAGAACTTGGAGTCTGATGTTCGAGGACAGGAAGCATCCAGCATGAGAGAAATATGTAGGCTGGGAGCCTAGACCAGTCTCACCTATTCACATTCTTCTGCCTGCTGTATATTCGATGGAAGCTGATTAGATAGTACTCACCAGATCAAGGGTGGGTCTGCCTTCCCCAGCCCATGACTCAAATGTTAATCTCCTTTGGCAACACCCTCACAGACATGCCCAGGATTAATACTTTGCATCCTTCAATCCAATCAAGTTGACACTCAGTATTAATCATCACATACGGGGTTTCACCTTCTTGGCCAGGCTGATCTCGAACTGACTCAGCCTCACAAAGTGTTGGGATTACAGGTGTGAGCCACCATGCCTGGCCCAGTTTTAAATACTTTTAAGTGCATGCATCTCACCTATTTCTTGTTAAATTTAATCTTTGGTATTTCACAGCTTTAGCTTTGTTTACTGCTTCAAAGTGGAACCCCTCCCCTCAGTTTTCTTTTCTAACTGGATTTTCCTTTTTATGTCATGATATTTGATTCTTGGGTGAAAATTTTCTACTCAGCCACTGTATTGAACCACCTTATTTTTTTATTTTGGTGAAATTCTTATGACAGAAATTTAACCATTTTAAAGTGAAAAATTCAGTGTGAATTTAGTACATTCACGATGTTGTGCACCCACCATCTCTGTCTAGTTCCAAAACATTTAGTCACCCCAAAATAGAACCCTGTGCCCATTAAGCTGTTCTACCCCATGAACCATCTTACTTTTCTGAATTGATTTTTTGGAAACCAGATCTGTGGACTCCATGGGTACCATTGAGCCATGTAGCATTGCCAGGTAGGGAAATGAAACAGGTGTATGTTTTCCCCAAATCTTAGACATATCCCTACCCTCATTCTCAGCCTGCTAGGAAATAAATAGTTCAAGAAATTCACAGTGAAATGACCCTAGACCTCCTCTGGCTGGTCACAAGCCTGGGCCTTGCTGCCAAGGATAATTGGTGCTTCCGCAAGGCTGGAGCTGAGCTATGTGCTGCCAGGGCTGGCCAAGAAGCCCTGGGTGCTTGGAATGGGTCGAGGAGTGGGAGTGTGGGCAAACAAGCCTGGAAAGCCAGTCTGGTTTGTCATGGTCAACACCTAGGGACCTACATTTGCATACGATCTGCATATTATTTTTATAAACTGAAACTCATCCTTAAATTTCCAACATTCTTTAAAAAATTTTACGTTTAAAATAATACATGACCCCCCCCTTTTTTTCTTACTGTTATCAGAACTCTGCCTTTTAATCTCATATTCTGTTTGTCTATTGCTAGGGTTGCTGTGTGTGTGTGTGTGTGTGTGTCTGTGTGTGTGTATGTATATGTGTGTATATGTGTGTGTATGTATATTCGTGTGTATATGTGTATGTATATATGTATGTATGTGTGTATATGTGTATGTGTGTGTATGTGTGTATATGTGTGTGTATGTGTGTATGTGTGTGTATGTGTGTATGCATGTGTGTATATGTGCGTGTATGTGTGTTGTGTGTATGTGTGTATGTATATGTGTATGTATATGTGTGCGTGTATGTGTGTGCGTGTATGTATGTGTATATGTATATGTGTATGTATGAGTGTGTATATGTGTGTGTATGTGTGTGTGTATGTGTGTGTATGTGTGTATGTGTATATATATGTGTGTGTATGTGTGTGTGTGTGTGTGTGTATTGATCTGGGTGCCATGTCCTGTGCTAGGCACTGAAGACATAAAGACAGTAATAACCTAGGCCCGGCCTTCAATGAGCTCCCATCAACTTTCTTGACTCTACGCCATGGCTCTCCACCTCTGTACCCCGTGGCTTCTTGCTTCTCTTTCTTCACATGCAGCCAGCGCTGAGGCTGTGGATTAGTTGTATGTAGCAGAGACCAGGTGTGGGGCCAAGTAGGCTCACAGCGTCAGCTCTCAGTGGGTCACTGTGCCAGGACAGTTGTGACTCCTTGTGGGTGGTAACCCTGCACGCTCCGAGCCCCTGCCTTGGGCTTTTGTACTCAGCTCCCCTGAGTATCTAATGTTGGCGTCCCAAGTGTACCATGCACTTGGATCTGGGCCCCGCTCGGGTAGGGTGGGAGGCTGATCCTGGGCGACACTGGAGATGATGCCTGAATCGGTTGGTTTGGGTTTCCTCTTTGTTGCACTCCGGGAGCAACCTCAGAATCCACACTAAGGACCCCTCCAGCCTGCTGGCCTCACAGTTCCTACCTTACCTCTCCTGTCCTTTGACCTATTCTCTTTTTCAATTATATATTTTCTTTATTGATCATTTAAATAGAAATTTCTGAAAGAATTAACGTGTTAATTAAACTAAGATTCAACAATTTGCCATAGTTGGTACTGTATTGTGGAAGTAAATATGAACAGCAAGACGTCTGGTCATAGAAAATAGAGTCAAATCAAGATTTAAAGTTGAATCAAGCAACAGTAAGCTGCCATACAGGCAAAATGATCCACAGAAGCGAGGAATGGAGCCCAGGGCCCAGGTGATGAGATCTCAGCAGTAAGCTGCCATACAGGCAAAATGATCCACAGAAGCGAGGAATGGAGCCCAGGGCCCAGGTGATGAGACCTCAGTTACCCCCGATGCCTCATTTTCCTGTGTTCTATCTAGAGCTCTACCTACATGTAAGCCAACAGAGAAATTCTGGGAGAACCTTTGACTGATTTTAAGTGGAATAGATGAATAATTACCTCATTTCATAGAAGTGTGAGTGTCAGAGATCTTGGCAGATCAACATTCTCCCCCTACCCTACTCTTTCTTTCGTTTTACATTTTTTACTTTAAACATACACAAAAGTAAAACAATTGTTCATTAAACTTGCTGTATTAGTCTGCTCTCCAGCTGCTAATAAAGACATACCCGAGACTGGGTAATTTATAAAGGAAAGAGGTTTAATTGACTCACAGTTCCCCATGGCTGGGGAGGCCTCACAATCATGGCAGAAGGCAAAAGAGGAGCAAAATCACGTCTTGTACGGTGGCAGGGAAGATAGTGTGTGCAGCGGAACTCCCCTTTATAAAACCATCAGATCTCGTGAGACTTATTCACTACCACGCGAATAGTATGGCGGAAACCGCCCCCGTGATTCAATTATTTCCACCTGGCCCCACCCTTGATACTTGGGGATTATTACAATTCAAGGTGAGATTTGGATGCGGACACAACCAACCCATATCACTTGCTGTACCCATTATGCAACTTCAACAAACATTAGTGACCAACTTTATTTCATGTATACCTCATTCACTCTCCCTACTCCCTTATTTTCAAGCAAATCCAAGTTCTTAAAAATATATATATATATATGAAAGTGGTATTGGGTTATGTTTTTTTAAGAGTCTTTAAATTTTAGTGACACATAACCAAATGTTTACGGATGATATAATACAAGAACTTGGATTTGCTATAATCCCAGCACTTTGGGAGGCTGAGGCAGGCGGAGCACCTGAGGTAGGGAGTTTGAGACCAGACTGACCAACATGGAGAAACCCTGTCTCTACTAAAAAAAAATACAAAATTAGCCAGGCATGGTGGCCCATGCCTGTAATCCCAGCTACTTGGGAGGCTGAGGCAGGAGAATCGCTTGAACCCAGGAGGCGGAGGTTGCGGTGAGCTGAGATCGCGCCATTGCACTCCAGCCTGGACAACAAGAGGGAAACTTCGTCTCAAAAACAAACAAACAAACAAATAAATAAATAAAATCATATTGCCAGTCATTGATGATCATTGCTTAATAGATTGACTCATTATAGGTTGGAAAAATGATTATATTCTGCCAATATTTCTGTGTTGTTTAGCTAATCTTATAAAGAGAATTGGTCTTATCAAGTAACTAGTTTATTATAGTAATTAATTTCTATATTTAATTAATTAATAAAAATAATTAATTTGTTATAACAAATATTATAGAAAAAGTAGGATGAAACCTTTATTCTTTCTTTTTACTTATTTACCAGTTTTGAAGGTAGTAAGTTGGTTCTCTAGCATCTTCCAAAGGTTACCAATGATTTTTTTAGTATTGATATGAGCTAATGAATTAGATATACTTGATGTGTTTCAATCCTACAGTTATTATCTTTATCAATGGTAAAATTGTCCTATCTTTAGCCAGTGAGGATTTACTTGGTTTGATTCCTGAGTCTTTTTGACACAATCTTAGTAGTCTTTGACAGTTTCCTTGCTATCTGATACCATAAGATATTTCAGATTTATCTTGTACATTTCCTGCCTCAGAATTGTCCATTTGTCAAGACTTCCAACTCCTTTTAATGGGAATGATATTTAGAGACCATAATCTATGTGCTTGAGTGCTCATTACTATTTAGTTCATTAGTATAGCTGGGCCTTTTGTGTGGACAGAACTAGAAAAGATGAGTGTACATATGTAGATATTTAGGATAAAATTAATCATGAGTTCATATTGATATTTCTAGTTCAAATTCAAGATTGTAGATTTTTTTTTAAGATGGAGTCTCATCTGTCGCCCAGGCTGGAGCACAGTGGCACAATCTTGGCTCACTGCAACCTCCGCCTCCTGGGTTCAAGTTATTCTCCTGCCCCAGCCTCCCATCAATAGCACCTTTGACCACACCTCACATTCTGGTTTTCAGTGTCACCATCAAATTGATTATTTGGTTTATTTCACATGTCACACACAGCAATTTTAGAATATGAATACCAATACACATACCAACATGAGGAATACCGAAAACCACTCAAGAGGTTGTGGTTTTTGTAGGGTTTTTGGTTCTAGGGTATATTTCATTAGGGATGTACACATTTTTGTACTGTTATTTGGAATGGTTAATGCTACAAATTGAATATATAGTTGGAGTCACCTGTTACATTTTACTTTTGATTTCTAGGTATTACTCTGTAAGTGTATTTTTGTTGTATAATTTATAAATAAATTGCATAATTCCACAGTCAAATATTTTAAATGAAGTTGTATTCAAAGGAGTTTGTCTTAAATCCCTGTATTCTCAACCCCATTTCCTCCATCCCTCATAGGTAATTATTTTAAAAAGTGTTATGGTTGATCCTTCCATAAAAAATACAAATATATATATTCATAGTCTACTCTTCTTTGAAAACGTGGTAGCATACTCTGTGTGTGTGTGTGTGTGTGTGTGTGTATGTGTGTATATAATTTTATTATTATTTTTAAGGATAGGATCTCACTATGTTGTTCAGTCTGAAGTACAGGTGCAATCACAGTGCACTAAAGTCTCAAACTCTTGGGTTCAAGCAGTCTTCCTGCCTCAGCGCTCTAAGTAGCTGAGGCCACAGGAATCAGCCACCATGCCTGTCCTCTAGCTTATTTTTCTATAGAGTTTTTGGCCATTTTCTTCCCTATTTTTAGAAGATTTTTACATTTTAGAGATTTTAACCCTTTTGTGGTATAAATTCGAAATCTTTTTTTCAGTTTATTATTTGTCATTTTACTTTGTGTATAGTTCTTTTTGCCATGCAGTACTTTTTATGTTTTATGTAATTATGTTAAACTTCCTCTTGTTCTGATTTTGAGTCATAGGAAAGTTTTTCCTACTCCAACATGACAGAAGAATTTATCCATATTTTCTTCGAGTTTTGTAGTGTCTTTTTTAAAACATTGAAATCTCTGATATTTTTGGAATTTTTCCTGATTTACAATATAAGCATTAGTTCCATTTTTTCCCCTATATGACTATGCAGTATATCTCTTTCTCTGTATAGTTATATCAAGAAAGTATCCATTGGCTTCTATTCTACTGAGTGTTTTTAAAATGAATGGACATTGAATATTAGAAAAAAAATTATATTTTTTGTAAATATGGAAGTGATCATATGATTTTTCCTTTAGCTTTATTAATAGAATGGATTTTATTAGTGGATTTCTCTTTTTTCTTATTTTTTGAGACAGAATGTCACTCTATCACTCAGGCTGGAGTGCAGTGGCACAATCTTGGCTCACTGCACCCTCCACCTCCTGGGTTCAAGTGATTCTCCTGCCTCAGCTTCCTGAGTAGCTGGGATTACAGGTACCCACCACCACACCTGGCTAATTTGTGTATTTTTAGTAGAGACAGAGTTTCACCATGTTGGTCAGGCTGGTCTCAAACTGCTGACCTCATGTGATCCACCTGCCTCAGCCTCCCAAAGTGCTGGGATTACAAGCATGAACCATTGCGCCCACCCTATTAGTGGATTTCCTATTATTAAGTTGCCTTTGTATTTATGGACCAACTCCATTTGGTCATAATGTATTATTTTATATGTGTTCTGTTGGATTCTGTTTGTTATTTTGTTAAAGATTTTTGTAACAGTATTCATAAGCAAGACTGATTTTTTTGTGTGTAATCTTTGCCAAATTTGCTATCAGTATTATACTCACTTCATAAAACAAAATTAGAAGTTTTCCTTCTTTTTCTATACTCTGTAATAGTTTAAATTGCATAAGGATTATCTGATCTTTAAAAGTTTGGTAAGATTCCTTTTTTTTGTTTATGGAGGAGGTCTCTAAGTATTTTCTCTATTTCTTCTATGACAATTGATCTGCTTAACTTTTCTTAGAAAAACTTCTATTACTGTCTATTTTGGCAAATTATATTTTTCTTAAAAATATCCATTTTTATAGGTTTGAAGGTTATTTGCCTATTGTCATGCAAGGTAATCTCTTTTTGGGGAAACATTTTTGTTTTCTTAGTTATTTTTCTTTGTTTCTAATTTTGAACATTTGTATTTCCTTCCATTCTCATTTTTTTTCTTGATTACATTACCTACATTTTGTGTTTATTTTGTTTTTGATTTCTTTTTTAAAAAAGAAGCAGGTTTTAAAATTTATTTATTGTTTTTTATTTTCTAACTCATTGATTTCTGTTTTAATCTTTGTTTATTTTCTGATTTTTTTTGTTTACCTCGTTGCTTTTTTTTCTAGCTTTTTGAGTTGGTGTTTATTCCCTTATTTTGATTCACATAGATATAGATATTTAATACTATAAATTTCCCACTAACTGCTTTTGTTGTATCTATTGTATACCGCAGATTATGATATGTCATGGTTTCTTCATAATTACTTTCATGAAATTCTGTAACTTCATCTGGTATTTCTTCATTTGATTCAAGGATTGTTTAATAATGTGATTTTTAGTTCCTAGGTAGAAAAATCTTCTGGTTTTAAAATTTTATTATTAATTTCTAGTTTTGTAGAATTGTAGAGAGATAATGTTTGTGTTTTTATTTGTGTTCTTTGGGACTTAATTGAGTTTTTTTGTGTGCGACCAAAGATATGGTCAATCTGGTGACTGTTTCAAGTGCACTTAAAAAGAAACTGTAGTTTCAATGAGGAGGAATACATTTTTGAGATCTGTTGCACAGAATGGTGACTATAGTTAATAATGATGTACACTTCAAAATTTAAATGTGTGCATGACATACACACACAAAGATAAGTGTGAGATGAGGGGTATGTTAATTAGCTTGATCTAATCATTCCATAATATACAGTATACATATATATCAAAACATCACATTGTGTCCCATAAATATATACAATTATTATTTGTTAATTTAAAGTAAAGTTTTAAAGGAAGATAAAAAGAAAATAAAGAAGCTGTATTCTGTTATTAGGGATCAGAATTGGATACATACTAATAAGACCTACCTTACTATCGTAAGGTCTTAATGTGTCCTGAATTAAGATAAATATGTTAAAGTCTCCTATTAGTTTTATTTTTCCTTGCAAATACTATAGTTTCTTCTTTATGAAAGTGATTGCTATATGCTAATAACTATATATCTTCATGGTGAATGATAGGTTTTATCATTATAAAACGCCTTTGTCTCTTTCACTATGTTTTTTTTGGATCTAAGTTCTGTCTTATCAGATAGCAAGATTGTGACTCCTATTGTTGGTGTTTTTTTAGATTTACATATAGTTGGTATATCTTTGTGCATTTAAACATTGTTAACCTACCTTAATCTCTTTGTTTTAGGTGTGTCTCTTACGTATAACACAGATTTTCATTTTGCTTTGTTGGCAACCTAAAAATCTTTTCCTTTTAATGAGTGAGTTAAACATATTTACACTATTGATATGATCAGTGTGTTTGGCTCAGTTCTGTCGTATTATCATGATATACGTCATATGTCTCTTTTATCATAAATATCTTATTTGTCTTTCACTTTGTGGATTTTTTTCATTCTCTTCCTCTCTCAATATATCTTTTGGTATTGAGGAAAGTTTTAATTTTTTCTAATGGTTATCTTTTTTTTCTTTTTTTTTTGAGATGGAGTCTTGCTCTGTCACCAGGCTGGAGTGCAATGGTGCGATCTCGGCTCACTGCAACCTCTGCCTCCCGGGTTCAAGTGATTCTCCTGCCTCAGCCTCCTGAGTAGCTGGGACTACAGGCGTGCACCACCATGCCCAGCTAATTTTTGTATTTTTAGTAGAGATGGGGTTTCACCATTGTTGGCCAGGATGGTCTCGATCTCATGATCTCATGATCCGCCCTCCTCAGCCTCCCAAAGTGCTGGGACTTTATACTTCCTCTAGTGTTTTGTCTTTTTTTTTTTTTTTTTTTTTTTTTATGGAGGTGGACTATGGTCTTTGGTGCCATAATATGAACAATATCAAATTTACATAGTAACCTCTTCTCCCTGTCCCCTCCTTTCACACCAATATTTGAAGTAATATTCTCTTTCTCCTAGATGTTACATATAAGGCAATCGGTAAGCTCATTCTAGTTTTCATACACACTCTCCATTCTTCCCCATTTTGTGAGAGTTGTGTTTACATTGTCAGAGGACATAACCATCACATGCTATCCTGTCTCACTTTTAATTGCTATTTGGTCTTATTTGTATAGGCAAGTGCATACTTAATGTCTATCATCAGTACTTACACAGGTAACCTTGCAGTCATTTTTTGTTTCCTGAAACTAATTTTCTAGTTCATTCCTCAGGAAGGGATTATGGCAAACATATTCTTGAATTCTTGCATGTTATTAAAAGTTTGTCTGTGGGCCAGGTGCTGTGGTTCATGCCTGTAATCCCAGCACTTTGGGAGACTGAGGCGTGCGGATTGCTTGAGCCCAGGAGTTCAAGACCAGCCTGGGCAACATGGCGAGACACCCTATCCCTAACCACCATCTCTATTAAAAAAATAAAAAGTTTGCCTGTGGCCTTTGTGCTTAGAGATCTCTTTGGCTTAATATAAAATCCACAGCTCATATTTTTTTTCTTGAGTATCTTAAATATGTTATTCCATGTGTTTTGGCATAAAGCATTGCTGTAGAAAAGTCTGATGAGAATCTCGTTTTTTCCTCTTATAAGTGATTTGGTCTTTGATCTTGGATATTCAAATGATCCTTTTCTGTTACTAATTTTTTTAAGTGAATTGGGTATTTTTGGAGAAGAGGGTTGAGTCAGGGGAGCTTTTCTAGCTTCTTGGCTCTAGAGCCTCCTCTTCTGTTTTTGCAAAATGATAAAAATATGGTCTGGTGTTTTCTGAGATCTGTTTCATCTGTTCTACTCTCTTATTTTTATTTCACATTTCCTTTTTTTGAGATGGAGTCTCACTCACTCTTTCGTCCAGACTGGAGTGCAGTGGTGCAATCTCAGCTCACTGCAACCTCTGCCTCCCAGGTTCAAGCGATTCTCCTGCCTCAGCCTCCCGAGTAGCTGGGACTATAGGTACACACCAGCACCACCACACCTGCCTAATTTTTGTATTTTTAGTAGAGACAGGGTTTTGCAATGTTGGCCAGGCTGGTCTCGAACTCCTGACCTCAGGAGTCAAGACTCCACCTTGGCCTCCCAAAGTGTTGGGATTACAGGCACGAGCACCCGGCCTTATTTTACATTTTTCATCCTTTACTCCTATTGTCTAATCCAGCTCCATGTGGGTACTATTTGTAGTATTTTCTCTTCAATGTGGGGCTTTTTTTTTTTTTCCCGGAAATGAGCTTATGCTTGTCAGTCCTGAGAGTTTACAGGGCCCAGGCTACTCTCCAGCACCATAAGTCGTTATTGCATGGTGGTCCTCCTGCCCTGACCCACAGATTGGATCTCACAGAAGCGCCATTCTACTTCAGCTATTCTTCTTAGATTGACTCACCATATTTTCCGGTGAATTTGGGGTTTTTCTGTTCTCAGAACCTTTCTTCTGCTCCTGCTCAAACAGCAGATTCCAATAACATGCAAGTCTCATGCTTTTGAAGGCTTGTTCCCATGAACATGTACTTAGTGGTTTGTAGAGAGACTCTGTCACTTAATATTGTAGATATTGTCTGTGGGTCTTTGATTTTGCTATCTTGGTTGCTCTCTCTGTTTTTAGGGGAGATTAAAAAACTATGCTGTCACGATCATCTTTACAGAATCCACTTGCTTACCTCCACTTTTTAATAAACTTTATTATTTATTTATTTATTTGTATTTATTTTTTGAGACAGGGTCTCACTCTGTCACCCAGGCTGGAGTGCAGTGGTGCGATCATGGCTCACTGCAGCCTCAACCTCCTGGGCTCAAGTGATCTTCCCACCTCTTCCTCCTGAGTAGTTGGGACTACAGGCATGCACCACCTCTCCTGGCCAATTTTTAAAATTTTTCGTAGAGACGAGGTCTCACCATGTTGCCCAAGATGGTCTCGAACTCCGGGCTCAAGTGATCCTCTTGTCTTGGTCTCCCAAATTGCTGGAATTACAGGCCTGAGCCACTGTGCCCGGCCAACAAATTTTATTTTTAAAGACAGTTTTAAACTTATGGAAAAATTGCAAGGATAGTATAGAGGTCCTATACATTGTGCACCTAGGTTTCTCTATTATTAAAATTTTACGTTAGCATGCTACATTCAGTATAATTAACAAATGATATTGATACACTATTATGAACTAAAGTTCACATTTTATTCATATTCCTTAGTTTTTACCTACTGTCCTTTTTCTGTTGTAAGATCTCATTGAGGATACTATATTTATTTATTTATTTATTTCTGAGACAGAGTCTCACTCTGTCACCTAGGCTGGAGTGCAGTCATGTGATCTCAGCTCACTGCAGCCTCAACCTCCTGGGCTCAAGTGATCCTCCCACCTCAGCCTCCTGAGTAGATAGGACTACAGGCACACGCCACCAGTGCCCAGCTAAGTTTTGTATTCTTTTGTAGAGATGGGGTTTCACCATGTTGCCCAGGCTGGTCTCAAACTCCTAGGCTCAAGTGATCCACCCACTTTGGCCTCCCAAAGTTCTGGGATTACAGGTGTGAGGCACCGTGGCTAGCCTATGTTATATTTAGTCATTATGTTTCCTTAGCTTCCTCTTGGCTGCGACAGTGTCTCAGACTTCCCTTGTTTCTGGTGACTTTGACAGTTTGATTAGTACTGGTCAGGTATTTCAATTAAGATCCCTTAATTGAAATTTGATGTTTTTCTCATGAAGAGACTGGAACTGTGGGAGTTGGGGAGGAAGACCACAGAGGTAAAGTGCCACTCTCCTCTCCTTATATCAAGGGTGCATCCTGTCAGCATGACTTATCGCAGTTGCTGTTGACCTTGATCATCTGTCAGGTTTCTCCACTGTGAAGTTACTATTTCTTCCCTTTCCATTCTGTCCACCTAGGAGGGAAGTCACTGTGTATAGCCCACACTTGGAGAGTGAGGGGTTAGTTATGCTCCACCTCCTGGAGGGTAGAGGTTCTACGTACATTATGAAAATTCTGCATGGGAGATGTGTCTCCTCTATACCATTTATATGATTTATTTCATCATTTATTAATGTCAGAATGGAACCTGAATATTTATTATACTTTGGGTTTTAATCCAATACTGCTTTATTTATTTTGTTGCTTAAACTGTTTCAGCTTGGGGCATTGGAGCTCTTTCAGCTGGTTCCTGTGTCCCTTTGATATACCCCCATTATTGTGTCTATGTGTGTGTGTGTGTGTGTCTATGTGTCTGTGTGTCTCTGTGTGTGTGTGTATATATGTGTCTGTGTGTGTGTCTATGTATGTCTCTGTGTGCATGTGTATGTATGTGTCTGTGTGTGTATGTGTGTCTGTGTATGTGTCTGTGTCTGTGTGTGTCTGTATGTGTCTCTGTGTGTATGTGTATGTGTCTGTGTGTGTGCATGCATCTTTGTGTGTGTATGTCTGTATGTGTGTCTGTGTGTGTGTCTCTGTGTGTATGTGTGTGCATGTGTGTGTGTGTCTGTGTCTGTGTGTGTGTCTGTGTGTTTGTGTGTCTGTTTGTACCTGTGTATGTGTCTCTCTGTGTGTCTGTGTGTGTATGTGTCTGTGTGTGTATGTGTCTGTGTATGTGTGTGTGTCTCAGTGTGTATGTGTCTGTGTATGTGTGTCTCTCTGTGTGTATGTGTATGTGTCTGTATGTGCGTTTCTGTGTGTGTGTCTGTGTGTGCATCTCTGTGAGTATATATGTGTCTGTATGTGCGTTTCTGTGTGTGTGTCTGTGTGTGTGTCCGTGTGTGTGTGAGCACTTCCTTACTTTCTGGCACTACAAGATGCTCCAGGCTCATCATTTCCCAAGTCCTGAACCAACCATTTTTTCCAAGGAGCCCTGGTTCCTTTGGAGTACGGTATTAGAAATTAAAAGCTGGGTGCTAGGGATGCTTTCCCTCTCTTTTTACCCATACTGGTGACCTCTATTTCTGGGCCTCCCCATTCCCTCAGGGCCTACTTCTTTCCTGCTTCGCTGCCTTCTGGATTCTACGGCTGAGCTGCCCTCGACCCTACCATCCCTTGTCCATGCAGTGTACTTGTCCTCCCAATTCACAATCTTGGACCTGGACTTTGGTCTTGCCCTGAGGTTGTGAGGTGCTGGGAGGTCTGCGGAGCTCTCTGTGTCGCTTGGAAAACTTACCACTCTCTAAGATGGCTGTTCCCCGCCCCTGCCCTGTGCTCCGTCCTACCTACTGCCTGGGTAGCAAGGGCCATAGCCTCCTACTTCACCACGAAAATGGAGACCAATAGGGGTTCAGACCCTAAATTTCCCTCCCTACAATTCCAAACTTAGCTGAGTCTTATACCCACCTGCTCACCTTTTGTTTTTCCCTTCCTTTCTGTCTTCCTTCTGTCGTCTCAGAGAATGTGTGTTTTTCCTGCCTTCCTTCCAGGCCAGTCTTTCCATTAGCTCAGATCACCAGGAGGAGGTTTCTCTTTCCTCTAATCTTCTCTAGAATTTTGCTCCATCGGTGATCTAATTTTGTGTGTCCTGAAATGCCCCTTCAACACTGCTTTCTTCTCTCTGCCTCTGAACATGTGTAAATGTCCCTCATCCTAAAAACACACACCCCCCTTTTTACATGACCGCTCCCCTTCACTGTTTTGCTACTTCTCTCCTCTTCCCTTTCTCCATTGCACTTCCAGAGAAAGACATCTCTGATAACTGTATTGGTGGCTGCCCTTCCTCCTTTGTGCCCACAAACTTGTTTCTGCCTTATCTGCCACTTTCCTGGAACTCTTCTCTGAAAGAATCACCGTATCCAGTGGTCTCTTCTTCACTGTTCCATATGACCCATCTTAGGACAGCATTTCCCCTTTGGTTCTCTCTTTCCCTCTTGGCCTTTCCTGTACCTCTGGCTTCAGGGAGGGATGTTCTTCTATCCTGGCTGTCTATCTTCCTCCCTCCCTGCTCCGTCTTGGCTCCTTTCACTGGCTCCTCTTTCTCCCTGCCCTTCACCCTCCACTTCCTACCTGGGGGATACTGTCAACCTTCAAGATGTAGCACCTGCCCATCCGTGGTTCTCTTCCATGGCTGTGCATTAGAATCACCTGGGGGGCTTCCAAAAAGTATTGACTTCCAGGCCCCTCCCTTAACTCATTAAATCAGATTCCCTAAATATGCAGCCTGGGTGTCTCTGTTGATCAAAGCTCCACAGAGGCTCTGGTGAGCAGTCAGGATGGAGACCTTTAATTTCCGTGTTAATGATTCCCCAGGGGATCTCTCCACTTTTGTCCCTCCACTGAGCCCCACATGCATATTTCCATCTGCTTACTGGAAGGCCACACACACAAACTCCAGATCAACAGGGCCGAAGTAGAACTCATGTTTCCCCTGTCCCTCTGCTTTGCTGCAAGCCTCACTCTTCTCTCTTCCCCTTTCTAAGGCTATTTCCATCTGCCCACTCAGGCTAAATAGAAGGCTCACGTTTGGCTTTTCCCCCACTCTCAAATCCATTGGTGACTGTGCCCTGCTGACGCTGAGATGTTGCTCTTCCTTCCCAGCCTCCCTGCCACTGCTTTAGTTTGGGTCCTTGCCATCTGGCATCTGAACTGTAGCATTAGATTCCTAATTGTTCTGTTTGCCTCCGGTTTCTCCCACTCCCTAATTCAACTGTCCCTAATTTTCTTTCTAGAAGGCAAATCTAATAATCTTCCACTGTGAAAATCCTAGAATGGTCTTTCAACACCTGGCTACGCTTCTCCACGTGGCTTCTTTAGCCCTGTGCATGAGAATCACTTGTGATGCTTGTTAAACTGCAGATTCCAGGGGTAACCCAAGACCTGTGAAATCAGAAAACAGAAAATGGGAGTCTGTATTTTTGAATGTGCTCCCTAGTAGGTCCTGATGTATAGTGATGTTTGCAAACCCTGGCTCCAAGCCCTGTAGCTGGTACCTAAATCCTTTCTACCCCTACCTCTACTCTGTCTCCAGACAATGTGACCTTCATGGATCTCCATGGTCACCAGACTATCAAACCCAAGTATCACCCGAGAAAGATTAATGTCTAGCCCTTCTGATCTGCTTCCCTTCGTCTAAAAATGCCTCTCCCTTTGCTGCCTCTGTTTCCTTGCTTGTTCTGATCCCTCTGTCCGGCTCAGAGAAACCAAGACTCAGGGTGGTTATTCTTGAGTAAGATCCCAGAGTCAGAAAGTGGCAGAGCCAGGAATCAAACGTAGGGCTGCCTTACCTCAGAGCCTGTACCCTTAACCACTCTGCTGTGCTGGTTCTAGGGGCTGATTAATGAATTTAGCAAAGGCCCCACACCACCCTCTTTGTTCTAGTTCCAGCACTGTCCCCTCCCTCCAGAGCCCCTCTCACCAAGGGGTCATGCATCCCCTTTCATCCTTGTTTTAAATGGAAGACAGCTACTCTTCCTCCCTGTCCAGAGGCCAGGCCATTTCCCCCTTGCCCACCTCCCCCCATCAAGCTGCAAAGAGGCCCAGTGATGAATGGGAGGGGAAAGCGGAAGGTGGGGAGGAGAAGGAGAAGGAGGAGGAGGAGGAGGAGGAGGAGGAGGAGGAGGAGGTGGAGGAGGTGGCAGTGGCGGTACAAGCAAGGCAGAGTGGGATGGAGTGTAAGCAGAGTGCCAGAGCCACAAACCTTAATTTAATCACAGGGCCCCATGCTCAATTTAACAGACACAAGGGCTCAGAATGGGGTCCCTGTGCGGCGGTGGGGCAATCAGCCTGCTGCAGTTCCTGGGAAAGCATTAATTGCGGATGACAATGTGTAAACAGTGGGGATGAATGGAGTGTGCAGGTGTGAGTGCTGGGGCCAGCCTGGGCTGTTTTCACACGAGCTGCAGCTCCTCCACTGCTGACCTGCTCCCCAGAACAGGATTAGTGGAAACAGTTGGGAAACCGTTGAGGGTGTTGGAGCTTGGCATAGAGCAAGTGGCCGAGAGCAGAGTGGAAGAGGGGCAGGGACTGGAAGGGCAGAGGCCTGGGAGATGAACTGTAGGGTGTGTGTGGGTGTTGCGGACTGCCTGCCTGCGGCCTAGCCCCTAGCCAAGCCACAGACTCTCTGGAAAGGAAGGCTGGATTTTTAATAACAATGAAGGCGGTCAGACCTGTGCAGCTCGGGACTGCGCTTGGGCTTGCCATCCACCTGGGCAAAGCCAGGTCATAGGGAAACTGAGAGATGCTCCAGAGCCCTTGTCTTCTCTCTCCCAACAGAGCCCCAAGATGTGCCTGGGGAAGGCCAGGCAATGTTGAACCAGCCTGGGGTCCCCAGCCAGATCTGAGTGGGAGAGGTGTCAGGGCAGGGTGATGGGGGTGGTGAGGAATTGGAAGAGTGCTGAGACAAGTCCAGAAAAGCCTAGATATCTGAAGATCTTTCATCTGAGAATCTCAAAGCGGCTTTCCAAAGCTGTTTCCTATATTTCTCTTGTCTTTTCACTCCTGTTGTGACTTTCTGAGGACAAGGGCAATGCCCCCCTTTTCTCTTCCCTTTCCCACGATCCCTAGAATGAGCTGGGCCCTCGGGAGTCCTAGGAGTTCAGGCTTTATCCTGCAGGCAGTGGGAGCCCATGGACTGTTTTAGGTAGGTGATCATCATAGGGTTTCAGAAGGATAATACCGGCCACAGGGTGATGGCTGAGGTATGGAGCAAGGCCTGGGAGGTAGAGGGGTTTGAAGGAGTTGCAACAAACCAGGTGAGGAGAGTCTGACCTGTGACCAGCAGTGGAGCTGGGGAAGAGAAGGCACATTTGAGAACCATCAAGGAGATGAATTTGCAGGACTTCAGGACTGGTTGGCTCTGGGGTATGCAGGCACAAGGTTCTGGTCTGAGCAACCTACTTGATGGTGGCAGCAATGTCTGTGTGCCCAGTGGGGAACACAGATGGAGGAGTAGTTTCATAGTAGAGGATAATGGGTTGGATTTGGAATGGCTTTCTTTCTGATGATTACTGTGGACTCAAGGCTGTAATGCTGAAGAACTGAGAGCCAAAAAAAAAAAAAAGTCCTATGGAGATTTCCTGAAAGAGGGTCAGGATACTGGGTCCCCACATCTACTGTCGGCCAAGAGCCCTGGGCCAGGCTGCGTGTCCCTGCAGGGAGTGCTCCCACCTGGCAATGCCAAGCTCATCCTGAACACCCATGGGGGCTCAGCCCTGGGAGCAGGCAGTGTGAACTGGCTCAGAAGAGGAAAAAGTCAAGTTGGCACTAGAAAATCTCATGCATAAGCCAAGAAAAAATAACATCCAGATGCAAACTGAACCCACTACCTTGAATCTGTGTTTTCTTCAGATCCCAGTTCAGTCTCTCCTGCTGGCTTGTTTTTATTTTCTGTTTAGAGGGAGAGATTATTTCTTTTTTCCCTGCAGTGTTTAGGCACTTGAAGTAAAGTTAAAAGCTTAAGTGACTTTCCCATCAAAGGAAGGTTAATGGTAACCTGGATTTAAAAAGTGGGGTGAGACCAGGCCTAGTGGCTCACTCCTGTAATCTCAGCACATTGGGAGGCTGAGGCAGGCAGATTACTTGAGGCCAGGAGTTTGAGACCAGCCTGGCCAACATGGTGAAACCTTGTCTCTACTAAAAATACAAAAAAATTAGCCAGATGTTGTGGTGCACACCTGTAGTTCCAGTTACTAGGGAGGCTGTGGCAGAAGAATCACTTGAACCTGGGAGACAGAGGTTGCAGTGAGCTGAGATTGCGCCACTGCACTCTAGCCTGGGCGACAGAGCGAGACTCTGTCTCGAAAACAAAACAAAACAACAACAACAACAAAAACAACAACAAAAAACTGGGGTGAGAAGCTGGGTATTAAGTACTATCTGTATTTTGGGGTCATTTTCCTATTTTAGTTCTTAATAATGGTTTCTAGTATAGTTCTGGATCCACAGCCTGGGATCAGATTCCAGCTCAATCATTTGCCAGTTGTGTGACTTTGGGAACATTTACTTAAGCCCTCTCTGCCTCATTCTCCTCACCTGTGAAATGGGGATAATAATACCTAGAACATGGCACTGTGGTGGGGATCAGATGGGTTCATGCATGCACTTGCTTTGGAGAGTGTCTGGCTCATAGCCAGCATGACCATATATTACTACAACAGGGGTTTCCCTAACCCTTCCTGCTTCAGTCGTGGAGCTCTTTGGGGGAGCCCTCTGGGTTTTCTGCTCTATTGGTCCTTGTCTAGGCTGTCAGATCAGTTTCTTGGGTTCTCATGACGAAGCCCTAAAGAGAGGTCTTGATAGTTTTGCAATTCACTCTTCCTGCTCTTTCACCTGCCATGCTTTAGCTCCAGAGCCAGACTTGAACAGTGGTTCCTCTATGCTGCCATTTCTTGAATCAGATTTAAAAATTGATGGATATAGAGTAGCTAACAAGTTTGGCAAGTAAGGATATTAAAGAGTCATCATCAGCATTTCATATATGGACATACTAGTACTATAAGTGTTGAAGCGGGTATTGGACGTCGATTATTTTTTGCCACCCGACATCCATTCACCTGCTTCAGGTGACAGCCCCCAATTTTTTGGTGCATCCATTGCTCCCTCACAATCAGGCCCCAACTTAGAGCTGAAGCAGGTGGCAGGTGGAAGCCAGTCAGGGCTTCTCATTCCTCTGGCTCCAGTAATTGAGTATGTGGCTCAGCCAGAAGCAGTGAGGCACACAGAGTCTGGCAGAAATTCTGGGAAAGACACGGCGGCTCCCTCCTGCTGAACTCTAACCAGAGAGGATGTAGTGGTGAAGGTGCTGCTGCCGGGCTGCTGTCACATGGAGCCTGAGGCAGCACGGAGGCAGGCAGAGTCAAACAATGAGGTCATCTGAACTCGAAGTCCAACCACCCTTGAAGCCCCTGGCTTTTTTTTTTTAAAGAAACTTTTTGTTTTATAATAGTTTTAGATTTACAAGAAATTGTGAAAATATTAGAGTTCCCAGACTCCATACCCACTTTCTCCTAATATATATATATATATATATATATATATTTTTTTTTTTTTTTTTTTTTTTTGAGACAGAGTCTTGCTCTGTCACTCAGAATGGAGTACAGTGGTGTGATCTCAGCTCACTGCAACCTCCACCTCCCGGGCTCAAGCGATCCTCCCACCTCAGCTTCCTGAGTAGCTGGGACTAATGGTGTGTGCTACCATGCCTGGCTAAATTTTGTATATTTTGTAGAGACCGGGTTTCGCCACGTTGCCCAGGCTGGTCTCGAACTCCTGAGCTCAAGCAGCCTGCCTGCCTCAGCCTCCCAAAGTGCTGGGATTATATGCATGAGCCACTGTGCTCAGCCCTATTATTAATATCTTATATCAGCATGGCACATTCATCACAATTAATGAGCTGATATTGGTACATTATAATGAAATGAAGTCCATATTTCATTCAGGCTTTCTTAGTTTTCCCCTAATGCCCTTTTCTGACTCAGGATCCCATCTAGGACACCATGTTACATTTAATCCTTATGTCTCCATAGGCTTCTCTTGGCTGTGATGGTTTCTCAGACTTTTCTTGTTTTTGGTGACCTTGACAGTTTTGAGGAGTCCTGGTCAGGTATTTTGTAGAATGCTCCTCAACTGGGATTTTCTGATGTTTTTCTCACAATTAGACTGGGTTATATGTTTTTGGAGGAAGGCCACAAAGTGCCACTCTCATGACGTATCGAGGGTCCCTCTTGTCCACATGACTTATCACTGTCGATGTTGACCTTGATCACCTGGCGAAGGCAGGGCTTGTCAGGTTTCAGCATCATGAATGCATTCTTTTTATGGCTCTTTTCATCCTTTCCATGCTGCGGTTTATTTTATTTTTATTTATTTTTATTTTTTATTTTTTGTATTTTTAGTAGACAGGGGTTTCACTGTGTTGGCCAGGCTGGTCTCAAACTCCTGACCCCAAGTGATCTGCCTGCCTCAGCCTCCCAAAGTGCTGGGATTACAGGCATGAGCCACCGTGCCCAGCTTCCATGCTGTACTTTCTGGAAGGAAGTCACTATGTGGAGCCCACGCTTAAGGAGTGGGAGTTATGTTCCCTCCCCTTGAGGGTGCAATATGTATATAAATTGTTTGGAATTCCTCTGCATGGAAGATTTGTCTCTTCCTCTCACATTTATTTATTCAATTATTTATTTATGTAAGTACGGATTCCTGGCTATTTATTTTATACTTCGGGTTATTATCCAATACTACTTTATTTTGTTGCTCAATTTGTTCCATCTTTGAGCATTGGGAGATCTTTCATTTGGCTCCTGTGTCCCTTTGACAAACCCCCATCAGTGTGGTCATTTGGATGTTTCGGTAGACATGAGCTATCAATTTCTTTCTAGTCTAAGTCAGTTTAGTTCAAAGGTTTTGTCACGTGTAACCAAAAGATTATCAACAAATCTCGAGAGTCTTTAGGTTGCATTATCTGTTGAAACTTTCAGATGTTGTCCACATTTTTCTTGTGTCAATGCAGTTGAATGAAAATTTTACCCTGGAAAGCACAGATCCTCCCTGGGGCTGCAGTGGTCACTTTGCTGGGCACTGTATCCGGGGACTTGGGATCGTGGGCCTGGGTGCGATTCAAGGGCTAGTCTTATGATCTTAGGCAAGTCACTTAACCTCTGAGCTATAAAAGGGGTACAGAGATGGGAGGGGATTAGGTGACACCACGTCATTGTGATGTGACCCAGACACCAAGACTGTACCTCTGATCTGCTGAACCAGTTGCAGGTGAGTTTAATGAAGCCTCCAAATTACGGTTGCCAGATAAAATATAGGACACCCAGTTAACTTTGAATTTCAGATAACTAATGAAAAATTTTATTATAAGTATGTCTCAAATATTACATGGGGATATACTTACACTAAAAAATTATTTGTTGTTTATCTGGAATTCAAAGTTAACTGGGTGTCCCGTATTTTTATTTACTAAACCTGGCAATGTTACCCCAAATGGCCTCTCATTTTTAGGTTTCTCAGGGCATACACTCCAGAAAAGGTGACTCTGCCACTTCAATTTCAGTGATAAAGGAACCTGAGCCATGTAGTGTCCTGGGAAGAACAGGACTTTGTGGTCAGAGTCTCATGAGGTCAAATCTCTGCTCCATGGCTCTGGGAAACTTGTTTGATCATTCTGAGGTCAGTCTCCATCCTCTGTTGTACAATGGGTTGATAATTCACAGACGCCATCACAACACTTTGCAGGGTCTGACACCTGGGACTCAGTCAATGGTGGCCACTGCTATTGATGTTACTCTTATTTGGACAAATGAACAGAATGTCCTGAGAGAGGAGATCGAAAGCCATGACAAGGCAGCCCCCTCACTCCCACCCAGTCCCCTTCTCTGAGCCGGGGAGACTGCTAATGCCAGAAGCAGAGGCTAGGGGTGTGGAGGGGGTTTGGGGTGCTCTGTGAGGATCTCTCTGGGGCCTGGGCTTTTTGCTCAAGCTCAGTATCTCATCTGGGATCCTGTTTTCTGAGGGCTTAGGATTCCTCCAGTGGAGCTGGGCCTGAGGTTGGAAGGAGAACCTGTACTGATAGGGTTTGGAATGGGCTAGTTGTGGGAGATTAAAGAGAAAACTAGTTGGGGTGGGGGAGCTGACCTTACTCTTCACAAGCAGGGCAGGCAGGTGCACAATAATGATAGCTAAATTTACTGAGTTCTTAGTATGTGCCAGGCATAGTTTTTTGTAATTTTAATGTATTACTTCATTTAATCCTCACAACTCCCCATTTTATAGGTGGGGAAATTGAGGCGCAGAGGGACTAGGAAACCTGCCCAAGGTCGCACAGTGAGTAAGTGGGACAGCCTGGCAGCTGTGTCCTAGTCACATGCTCAGCACATTGTGTATCTTGTTTCATTTAGTTCTCACAAGAGCCTTCTGAGGTCAGCGTGATTCTATCTTCATTGTGTAGCTGAGGGCACTGAGGGTTATACAATTTGCCCAAGGCCATAATTTACAGGGGCCATGATTCAAATGTGAATTTCCAACTTGCAGGTGCCTGGAGGTGTCAGGCAGGGGAGGAGGAGGCCAGTGATGACCTTTCCCCTCGTGCCAGCCCTCAGAAGAGGTGGAAGTGCCTGCCGTATGCCTTTGATTTATAGTGGAGCAGGGGTTTAGATCCAGCTGTCAACTTGGGAAGCCACGTGAGGATTCTATTTTTAAAAATGGCCTTGTAATTATAATAGTGGGGTAAAAACCACCACCACCACCCAAGCAAACAGGAAAACAACCTGAATGTCCAACAGTGGGGGAACCAGTTAAATCAATTATGGTACAAACCCATGATGGCATATTTGGCAGTTAAGAATCTCACATTTTCAGAGACTCTTAGCATGGGATAATGCCTCCAGATATAACTAAAAGCAGGATATAAAACTGCATAACAACCTGATCCCAATCGAAAGGTAATTTTGTATATGACTTCTTATACAGAGAAAACGACTAGAAGAAAATAGAAAGTTGATGGTGGTTATCTCCAGCAAAATTAAAGGCAATTAAAATTTTCTGAATTATCCTATCATGTACTTGCCACATGCTTTACAAATCAGTTCGTTGACTCACAGACCATTAATCAGCTGGCATGCAATCATGGCGTTTTGAAGGTGGGGAAACTGAGGCCCAGGCCAGGGAACGCGGTTCAGGCTGGCCATGAAGCCGCGTGTGTTTGTCCAGCTCGGACGTGTGGCCCTGCCGGGTGTAGGGGGGACACCCATGCCTCCAACACGCATAAGGGGGTGACTGTATGGGGGTCGTGGGGCGCCCTCCCCCAAGGGGCACAGCTAGAGCAAAGCAGAGAAAGGAGGGGGTGAAGGTGGGGTGGGGGCTGGGTGGAAGGGAAGGGTTGGGGAACCTTTCAAAAATGGAAACCAGATGAGCCGTTCAAAGAGGAGCAAATTCTCCACGGCGCGCTCCTTTGTTGCGAGCGTGTGAGGCGGCGGCAGCTGCGTGCCTCGCCCCCCAGCCCACAGCCCGATGAGGCGGACACGGATAACTGCATTAGATGCACTCAGCTCTTTTCAATAAAACGCCCTTGTTGGAGGCACAATAGGGGGAACAGGGCAGCAACCCCAGGCCGGGCCGGGGGCGCCCTGCCCTCCTCCCGGAGAGCGCAGAGCGCACTCATTTTTCCGGGCTCTGCTAATTGACGTTTGGCCGCTGCGTGGTTCAAAAGAAAAGGCCGAACTCAAGTCCACTTCCACCGGAAACCAGGCGGCCCCTCCCCTGCCGCCCCGCCATGGCTGGGTCTCTGGGGGCGCAGCCAGGGACCACAGTGCAGCTGGCCGCAGGTGGCGCGGAGGCTGCTGTGACTCAGAATAGAAGGTGTCCTGAAGGCTTCTCCCAAAAAGGCTCCGTGCGCAGGCTTCTAGTTTCTGTTTGAGGAGACAGGTGGCAGCAGCAAGAGCAAAGGGCAATTTCAGGGCTGGAAGACTTCATCAGTGATTACCCAAATGCCACATTCTTTTAGTGATTCTAGTAAAGATAGCCTAGAACATTCTTTTAAGTTAAAAAAAAAAAAAAGGAAGATTACTATTTCTTGAACCTCTCCAGTGAGTTGCTTTAACTGTGAGCTAGGTGTTTACCATCCCTGGTTTACAGATGTGGAAACCAGGACTTAGATTACTGGCCCTCTAAAATCGCACAGCTAGGAAGTGGTAGAGCTGGAATTTGAGCCCAGGTCTGTTTAACTTTAAAGCAGGGTTTTTCAACCTTGGCACTATTGACATTTTAGCCTGGATAATTCTTTGTTGTGGGGCCTGTCCTGTGCCTTGTGGGATGTTTGTAGCATCCCTGGCGCTATCATCCAGATAGGATCACCAAAAATGTGGCCAGACATTGCCAAATGTTCCCTGGGGAGCAAATTTGCCCCCTGTTGGAACCACTGTTTTAAAGCATCCCTGTCATGCTACATGTGCTGGCATACTCATCTTTGCTGGGCTCAGGAATTTAATCTTTTGGGAAAACCAATTGGCCATGTGGGATTCTTTTCTTAAAGTTCGGCCCCACATGGTTCATGTGGGTGAGGCAGGAGAAGAGTTGGCTGCATCAGACAAGGTCAACCTCTGTGTACCAGCACCTGAGTATCTGTGGAGTACTTGAGGCATTTTAAACTGGGTATCTGTCTGTCTACATTTCTTGGGCCTCATTGGGTTGGGAGTGGTTCTAGTTCCTTCAACTATGCTTCCCATTCCTCTCTGCCAAGACTGTCCCACAGAGGGTGAGCCAACACGCTGCCCCATTCCCCCCCGCCATTTCATTATGCCAGGTAGCAAGACTAGCCTTGGCCACTGGAATTGCTAATACATCAGGGAAAACACCTGGTGAAGGAAGGAGATGTCACCTATGCAAAAATGGAGCAGGAGCCTCATCTTGAAATGAGTAGGGAGAGGACTTTGTTGCAGGCAGCTGGCCCCACCACTGGCCCACAGTGCTGGGGAGGTGGCTTCACCTGATTTCATTTTTGGCTGCAACTTGTGCATGATCCTGCCTCTGCCTTTGCAGCATACTGTGGCCTTTTGCTGCTTTGGCTTATGAAATGGTTCCACTCCCCAGTCCCCAAAGTTCAGAGGCCACCCAAATCCAGCCCCAGGCTCTGGGGACACACTGAACGGAGGCCTGTTTCAGTTCAACTGCCTTCTTCTCACATAGACAGAGTTGATTTATAACTGGGCTCCATCATATTTGTTTTTCCAATTCTGGCCTTCTTACTCCCCAGATTGACTTTCTACTGGAAATGACTTTTACCAAAGGTACCTCTTGGAAGAGTGTCAGGTCCATAGGGAAGTTAGAGGCATCAGGGCCTACTGGACTTCAGGCCTGTCCCCAGCACCGTCCTGGGCTGCACTTTATTGGACGTGCTCATGGGTGGGGGGCTCAGAGACTTGGGGATAGGCCTTATCTTTTTAAATTGAGCCCGTTCTAGGGAACATAGAGGATAAGGGCTTGAGGAGCTCAAAGAGAGGAACAGACATCTGGAAAGAAAGGAAATAGGAAACTGGGACAGTAAAAAGCAACCAGCATCTCAGAGGATGAGGGATTAGGATTTTTGATAACTGAAGTTTGTCTCATCTCTCTTTTCCTTTAATATGCTCATAAGCTTTTGAGGGGTTAGCATAGAAGCAGACATGTGCATGCACACATCCTCAGTTTAGTTTGGTATAGCATACACATTTTTCCTGCTTTCCCTCTTAGCCAATGATATATATTTGGTGGACAAAAGTTCCTTCTAAAAGGACCATTTAAGAAAAGGAAGATATGAAAGTAAGCATGTGTGTGAATGTGTTTGTGCCTCCACCACATGTAACTGCTTTCTTTTCGTTTCTTTCCTTTGAGTGTCTCCCCCTCCCCTGGGTGGTTTACATTTGCTGTCCTTTTGCTGAGATAATTTGCACTCTCCAACTTCATTAGCTGCAACTCCCTCCTGCCCTGGGACAAAAAACAGGGCCAAACTCTTCAAAAGAACACATGGAGACCCCATTAATGCTGGCCCTAATTGTGCCAATTCAAACCCCTCAATAACTCTAATTAAAACCTGTCTTGTGCGAGGCGCTGAGTGGCAACACAGCTGTCATCCCAGACAATCACATAACAGCTATGAGAAAAAAGGTCTCTCTGTGCAATTTTTGGTGGTGGTTGTTATGGAAAGGGTCAATGCAGGAGGATTAAGACAGGGGTGCAGTCAGAGTGGGGAACCTTGAAAAAGTCTTCGACGTCAGATCACAGTTTGAAATCAGAAGACCTTTAGCTTTTTTCCTCTAGCTGCCCCCTTATTTTTTTCCCCCTGCCCCAGGCAGGAACACCTGCAAACTGCCTGGAAGGGGCCATGACCACCAGACACATGGATACCACAAGTTGACTGAAACATCTGA
Organism: Homo sapiens; assembly: GCF_000001405.40. NCBI lineage: Eukaryota > Metazoa > Chordata > Mammalia > Primates > Hominidae > Homo > Homo sapiens. The sequence continues at coordinate 69,853,096 of NC_000014.9, forward strand.
AAGAAAAGGAGCCCCTCCCCTCCCCCTCAAGAGCCCGACCAGCAAAACCACACACCAAAAGCGGAGACAAAGTTTTTCTCTTGCTTCCAACTTTGTCTTTTAGGATCCAGCTGCACTTTGCTGGGCACCATAAATAACTCTGCAATTACATTAATTGGTTGCATATTTGTTGACACTGAAAGGGAAGCCTTTAAGGTTGGGGGAGGGGGAGGTGGGTTTCAGCTGTAATTTTCCACTCTTTCCCTTTGCCATCTCTCCCTGTCTGACTTCCAACCACCTTGCTTAGTTTTCTGGAATGGAGGGAAGTGGTGGGCTGATAGGCTGTTTTCAGAATAATCTTTGACGGCTTTCAGTCAGACTTATGTTTCTTCTGTTTGCTGTCCCTGGATCTGTTAATCCACTGGGTTTAGAAGTTATGTCCCACTGTGGGAGAACTTGAGATGGGTTCCTGGCAACACTCCATGAAGTCTGATTTCCTCTGGAGGCAGGGTGTGGGGTGGGCTTCTTTTCAGGCTTATTGTTTGGATCAAAGGAGAACTGGCTAGACTTTTGCCTGAATCCCCAAACCCATCCTGGGTTCTTCCAGAAGCTTGGCCAAGATACCTTGGAGAGTATCTTGAATTCCATTCCTTGGGAAGCTACGGGATCTTAGTTACCTCATTCACTCTACCTCAGTCAATGGGCAAGACCTGGAGCGTTCAGCTTGAAAACCAGCCCATTGGCTGGAGGACTTTGCAGAGTGGAAGGTGACGGGGGCGTGTGGCAGACTCTGAGCCCCAGCTGACAGCTGAAAGTAGGCTGACGACCTGGGACTCAGAATTCATTTTCCCTCAGAGCTGAGCCTAAAGGAATTCCTCTGGGTCCTGGCCTAGGGCTGGAGGGGGAATGACAGCGCATGGAGCATGCCTTGGAAGCTGCCCCCCCACTGGCCCTGCTGAGTGGGCAGAGCCACCCTTGGGAGGAGGAGCCATGCCTGCTTTGCTATCACTGTTCCCTCACAGTACCCAACATGAGCCTGGCACACGGGAGGCTCCCAGCTAATGTCTGATCGGGGGGATGGCTGAGGACCTCAGGTTCTGGTGTCCAGGTGCTCTGAGCTCTTAAAAAAGGAAGGAATTACTTCAATATGAAATCAGATGGTTCCCTTCCACGTGGTGTGGTGGAAAGAGCATAGACTTTGAGGCCCACAGACTGTAACTTTAACATACCGACTTTTCAGAGCGTCATAAGGATAAATGCACTTATGTAAGTAAACACAAGAAAAGTTACTTTCTTTTCCTTTCTCTGTGAAACCAGTGAGAAGAATAACTTTCAGAATATAAGCTGATTTCCTCACGGCAAAATAAGGACAACACAATCCTGCAAATTAGCAAAGCGAGAAGCAGGCTTGAGAACCTAAAAGCTTGAGCGAGACCGGGTTCCAGGCTGGGTCTCATGCTTACCACCTTGTATTTGCTGTTCCCTCTGCCTGGAACGTTCTTCTCCCGGTTGTTGCATGTCCCTCACTCCTTTAAGCCTCTGCTCAAATATCACTTCATCAGAGTGGGCTTCCTTGAGCACCCTATCCAAAATAGCAACCTCCCCTCCCCATCTCTATCTCCCTCACCTGCTTTATTTTTCCTTATGGTACATGTCATCCCCCAACATATTATATATGAGTTGATTTGTTTGTTATCTCTCTTCCTTATTACATTCTGAGTTTATGAGAACAGGAACTTGTTTTGTTCATTGTTGTATCCACAGCACTTAGAACAGTGCCTGACACATAGCAGATGCTCAATTAGTATTTATTGAATGAATGGGTTCGGGGATGGCAACACCTTCTCATCACCTAACAGGAAGAGAATACCTGCTCCCAAATATTTGTTGGGTCAAGTTACTCCATAATAAACACGTTGAAAAGAGTGGCCCTTCTCTCATTTCCAACCTGCGGTTCCTAGAGTAGGAGTTAAGGTCATGGCTTTGGAGCCAGATAGTCTTGGCTGTACCCTCCCACGGAGAGGGGAACTGGGGATAATTGCTGAGCACCTCTGAACTGCAGTTTCCTTATCTGAAGGTAACAATGATTGTTACCTCATAGGACTCCTGTGTGAATTAAGATAATGTTTGAAAAGTGTTTATGGGGATTTTTGGCACAAAGTATGTGTACATCAAAAAGTGGATGACATTGCTGTTGTGGTCATCGTCATCCTCATGATCTTGAGGCTGCGACCACCCCCCCACCCTTAACTGAGAGTGGGGCTGATCTAAGGACAGGCAATGCCATGAGGCAAGTGTAGACTTTTATTTTGAAATAACCCCCACCAACTAATCATACTTAGGGAGGGGAGAGCTAAGCCTTGTTTTACTGCTTTTATTCCTCTGCTGTCTTGTTTTTGAAACTTGCACTTGGTTGCTCATCACATAGTCTTGTAGATAAGAAGGACCACAAATTCCTCACTGAGTTTATTTCCTCGAGCTTGGACAGCTGGTGCAGAAGGTCCCCAAATGGTATTTGGGTCATTATCACCTTGACAAGGAATCTGATTTCTTTTCAAACCAGAATAGGTTTCTGTCTAAGACCAGAGTAAATATCATCCCTTCAAAGAGACCAAACAGATGAGTCACAAGCAGACAAATCCGAGTCTTTTTTTCAGTGTCGCTAGGATGTTGTGAGTGGGCACACCCTCATTCTCTTTCCAGCCACCAAGAGTCGGCGTTAGGTGTTGGCAGGGCGACTACCCACTCCAGGGGCTCTCAATTTGTCTGCCCGTGTTTGGACCTAGGACTTTTCTGGGGCCGTCAGCCTTACCCTATTGCAGTTGTTTATCTACTCCAGTGACCTGTATTCAATGATGTTGTATGACTGCCCATATGTATGTTTATGTGCACATATGCAAACACATGATACACATACAAACCATACTTATTCCCTGCCTTTGGAAAGTTGGAAACAGTATGAGATTTGGAATCATCTAGACCTTAGCTTTAAATTCTGGCTTTGTCCTGTAGTTGCTTTGTGACCAAGTCCAATGTGGTCCCTGCTATGTCAACACCCCTATGCACACCAATAGGAGACTTTCTTCTTCTTTCTCCAGGCAGGAGAATAAGGGTTGGCTGGGCAAAGACAGGGTTCCTGGTAGGGAAAGGGAAGGGGACACATGCTTTGGAGAAGGGAGGGACCAATTAAGGATGGAGAGTGGTTGTGCAGTGAGAGAGAAGTGGAGAAAGAGATCTCTATACGCTCTGGCCCACTGTGTGAGGCTGGAGTCTGGGGCCCATCTATGTCCAAGGGCACTAAGTGCTGCTCACCCCAGATGCACAGCCCATCACAGTTTGTATACCTCAGTGCAAGGCATTGCTTATATTGGCTTTGCTTAGTTCACAAGTCGGCAGTGCTGACCAGCAGCAGGTGAAGTGAAGAGCCCAGAAAGATTCCAGCTACAGAGACATTGGAGAATCAAAGAATGACTGATGAGGGATCCTAGAGCGTTGGTCACTAAAGGGCGGCCTCAGGGCAATCCTCTGGATGGTGGCAAAAGAATGGTTAGAATCCATTTCTATTTGTAATCTACTAAAAACAAGAAACAAAAGTGCTCATTAATATCTACTCACAGAGTGGCTCTTCTTCTCCAACTTAGTCCATTCATCAGACAGCACGCACCACAGCAGATGTAGGAGTGGGAGTCCCTGGATCAAGGGTGGGGGCGGGTTGCCCTCATTCTGTCCTGCGCTTTGAGCGTGTTGTGATGTATTACAACAGTATATTTGTGCCTGTTAGTATATTGTTTAGTTGAATGCCTAGCCTCACAAAATAGACAGCCTAAAAATTTCCTTTTAAAAGCAAAAAAATTGTTTTGTAGACAGTATTAAAACTGCAAAATATTAAAACAACGATGATGGCTGAGTTACCACCTCCAATTTCTTATATGAACTCTCTTTTTCCCGCATTGTGAGGTACAACAATGATCTGGCAAGAAATCAGCGACTAAAGCAAGTTGAAGTGATTTTGAAATCTAGACATACGGATTTATTTATTTATTTATTTTTTGAGGTGGAGTCTCACTCTGTTGCCCAGGCTGGAGTGCAATGGTGCGATCTCAGCTTACTGCAACCTCCACCTCCTGGATTCAAGCGATTCTCCTGTCTCAGCCTACCAAGTAGCTGGGACTACAAGGCATGCACCACCACACCTAGCTAATTTTTGTATTTTTAGTAGAGACCAGGTTTCACCATGTTGGCCAGGCTGGTCTCAAACTCCTGACCTCAAATGATCTGCCCACCTTGGCCTCCCAAGGTGCTGGGATTACAGGCATGAGCTACCGTGCCTGGCCTGATATATGGATTTACAGCAACAATCATTAATGATGTCTTGCTTTACATAAATATTTTGCCTTTAAATATCAGTGAGTGATAAATTCAAACTGCCATGATTAATAGCATAAAATATCATTTATTTCATGTTTATTTTGTTTTTATTTATTTATTTGTTGAGATGAGTTCTGGCTCTGTCACCCAGGCTGGAGTGCAATGGCGTGATCACGGCTCACTGCAGCCTCACCTGCCAGGGCTCAAGCAATTTTCCCACCTCAGCCTCCTGAGTGTTTGGGACTACAGGCAAGCACCACTGCATCTGGCTAATTTTAAAAATTATTTGTTGAGATGGGATCTTGCTATGTTACAGCCCAGGCTGGTCTGGAACTCCTAGGCTCTAATGATCCTTCCACCTTGGCCTCCCAAAGTACTAGGATTACAGGTGTGAGCCACTGCACCCAGCCAGTGTTTAGTTTAGCCTTTAAATTTTCTAGACATTGTGTATATTATATGCACCCAGGTAGCTCACTGTAACTAGTTATACATACAGTAGGGGTGAATGCTCAAAACCTTCTTCTGCTAGAGGCATACAATAAAAAAAGTTGGAGCCCACTGATTAAGAGTAACCTTCTAATTGTATAGATGAAGTAAGTGAGGATAGAGAAATAAGCCATGTGTCCAGGATCTCAATGTGAATTAGCCTTGGGGCACAGAGCAGGCACCAGGACTCAGGTGACTGCCTGTCCAGAGCTTTTAGTGATATGGGATTTTGTTGTTGTTATTAAGGATACAGCATCTCCCTGCCCCAAAGCATTGACTTTGGATCATGGGAACAGCTCTGAGGGTGTCATTCCCCAGCTGTGTATTTTAGCTATATCTGTAAAAAAAAATGGAGCGGGAGTGTCAAGGCCAGGATTATGTCTGAGAAATGTTAGTCACCTCAAGAATGAAGGCCTTTAATGGTAGCACTTGCACACTAATAACCAATATATAAATTATACTTGATTTGTACCTTTTAAAGACTTTCAGTGCTGTTATCCATTACCTCTCTTAGTAGGTAGTATGTATTTCCAGGGCCTAAGAAAATAGAATTGCTTTTTTTTTTTTTTTTTTTGAGATGGAGTCTCACTCTGTCACCAGGCTGGAGTGCAGTGGCACGATCTCGGCTCACTGCAACTTCTGCCTCCCCGGTTCAAGTGATTCTCCTGCCTCAGCCTCCTAAGTAGCTGGGACTACAGGTGTGCAGCACCACACTCAGGTAATTTTTGTATTTTTAATAGAGATGGGGTTTTACCATGTTGGCTAGGCTGGTCTCAAACTCCTGATCTCAAGTGATCCACCCACCTTGTTCTCCCAAAGTGCTGGGATTATAGGCATGAGCCACCGCACCCAGCCGAAAATAGAATTTCTTTAGAACTATTCCATTCATCCGGATTTTCAGTAGTTAGCCTGCTCTTCCTTCAGTTAGGGAAGACAGAGGATTTTACTAGTGCTCAGAAAGTGCTGGGAACAGAGAGGAGGCTGCTGGCAGGAGGGTGAGAGGGGAGAGATGGACTGGAGAATAGCAGGGAGTGCGAAGAGGAGAGGCTGAGCGAGGGAGTGCGGAGAGGAGAGAGCTGAGCTCCGAGGTGAAGGGGGCAGGTGGGAGGAGGGGCATCCCAGGATGAAGGGCTGTGGTGCTCTCCGCTCCCTGCTTCTATTAATCCAATTAAAGTGTTGAAAATCAGATCTCATGTAAAGCTTTGAACATGAACTTTTCATTACAGCACCGGGGTGGAGGTGGGGGTCGGGGTGGAGGAGGAAGAGAGGAGCGGGGAGGCACGGGGAGTCATGAGGTGGGGGTGGAAAAGCCTCCCAGTCTTCCCCAGAACAGAGGTGCAGATGTGATGCTGCTGGGCCTAGGCCCGCTCTGCTGGGGCCCGGATGACCAGAAGCTCGGGCTTCCTCCTCATGCACCTTCTGACTTATTTTTATTATCTGTACCTCCTGACAACCCCATTCTTTGGTGCTTGGCAGGTGAGGTCAGAAAGAGGGTGCCTTGAAGGCCCCCTTCTGTGGCCTCAGAAACCACACTCCCGCAGTCCCCAGGCTCCCCTCAGCATGAGGACAGTGGATCCAAAGGCAAAGGAGAAGAGTAAGAAGCTGGGGCCCGATGCCATGCAATTAACCCCCAAGTTTGCTTCAAAACTTGGTGTAAGAGAAAAACTGAGGATCCCCAAGCACTAAAAAGTATCCCCTTCCGACCCCGAGAAAACGGGTCTCCAGGGACAGAAAAGGTGTGCTCCGGTGGGAGGGACAGCCTCGTTCCAGGCAGCGCTTCCTCCCTCCCTCCCGCGCATGGTCCACGCTCAACTCATTCATCGACAGTATTCAGGGCTCCCTGAGCCGACGCCTGGTTCTGTGCCAGCTGCTGGGTATCCAGTCTGACGTTCTGGTGTGGGTGAGACAGGCAATGAAAAGTCAGCAAAGAAACGTGCTCCCTGCAGATTGTTCTAAGTAGGACAAGGGAAAGAACCCAATCACACATGTCTCTGCCTTTTCCATCTTGGTCTGTGGCCTCTCTGATTGGAAAGCAAGGCAGATGGCCCAGCAGAGGCTCAGCAAAATCGGCTAAGGTCGCCGGTTTAGCTGGTAGGCCTGGGAGGAAAACCCAATGTATGCCTCCTTTCTGTCACCCCCACTACCCCTCAGAATTCCCCTGCAAATTAAATTTGTTATGTGGCCAATACATTGGTTTAGATTTTAAAAAAGTAGAAGGGGAAGGCACATTTCACAGCATTCAAGATTGTGTGCTGCTTCCCCCCTGCAGCCTGGTTTTTGACCTGCTTGCTGGGCTGACTGTAGGATGGACAAGATGCTGGCCTCTGGGTGGATGGGGATCAGGGGCGCAGGGTGGCTCTCTCCTTGAACTCCCCTCTCCGTGCTCAGCTACTCTTCTGCACCGGGGTTTCCCTGGGCCCTCCATTCCCAAGAAGGGGGCCCTCCCTTGCCGCCTGGGGTTTAATCTCCGCCAGGCCTGTGCACCGCTGGGCTGCTGGTGTGTGGTCCTTCTCACTCATGTGCCTCAACAGCTGGAAATAGTGAGGCGGGAAGGGGGACGTCGAGCATAAAACCCTGGCACTTCTCAAAACAAAACGAACAACTCCAGCTTTTAATCAGTGTAGGGCAGGGGCGGGAGAATTGTGTTTGGTTTGACATAGACAAAGCCCTTTTTAGGTCTCTGCTTTCCGAGGAATCTGTGACTGCCCTTTCTGAAACGGCTGCAGAACCCTGGGCTGGAGATGCTGGGCTGTTCAGCAGGGCCTGGGGAACAGACTGGACCCACTTGGCGCAGGGTAGGGATTTGGCTTTTATTAGCCAGACCCCTCTGCAGTGGAAATGATATCTATTAGTCTCCTCTTCTGCTCTTGGAAGCCGGAAGAACCATAGCTTTTGGGAATGTGGTCCGTCCTGCCTTGAGCTTTGATAGGTGGGCTCCTTCAAAGAGGAGACTGCGAATTTGAGTTTTAAAAATGAATTTCTACATTATGGTTAGGGGAACTTGCTATGTATGGGACCCCAACTGTGAAAGAATAAATTTGCAAAGTGAAGAATCCTGTCCTATTCCTGCTCCCAGCCACTGCCCTGACCAGATTTTTAGATACCAGGTTATTCTAGAGTCTGCATCATCCTAAAGTGACTTAGTATAAAGTCCCAAAGGATGAGCCCTGCCTCTGGCCTAGGATCACCAGATTTAGCAAATAAACATACAGGATGCCTAGCTGAATTTGAATTTCAGATAAACAATAAATACATTCTTAGCATAACCCATGCAATAAGGCAGAGTTATGCAATATTTGGGGTGTACTTGCACTAAACATTTTGTTGTTTATCTGACATTCAGATTTAACAAGGTATCCTGTGTTTTACCCGGCAGGTGTGCTCCGGCCCTTTTTCATGCAGATCTTGGTCCCTCTTCATCTCCGTTAGGCCCTCCTCTTTTCTTCCTGGGTGCTTTCTGGACTTAGGTCTCCCTGGGGCCCTGTACTCCATCTTTCTGTCTTGTTATAATCCCTTCATTTCTCAGTCTGGGATAGCTCTCCTCATCTGCTCTCCCTTTTCTCCTGGTCCAATCTTACTTGTCAGCCCTGGGTTGGTCAAGATTCAGCCACTGTGTCTGAGGACTAAGAACAGTGGTGGTGATACCTTGTCTACAGTTTTGTCACTCCCTGGCTTCCCATGTGCCAGGCACTGTTGGTTGCTTTACCGATGTTAATCACTTAACACTTACAACAAAACTAGAAGGAAGACTTTTTTTTTTTTTTAACTGTGGTGAAATAAACATAACATAAAATTTACCATTTTAACCATTTTTAGGTGTATAGTTCGTTGGCGTTTGGTATATTCACATTGTTGTACTACCATCACCATAATCTGTCTCCAGAACTTTTTCTTCTTCCCAAACTGAAACTCTGTACCCATTAAACCCATTCTCCTTTCCCTCCAGGCCCTGACAACCACTATTCTATTTTCTGTGATGAATTTGACTACCTAGATGCCTCATTTAAGTGGAATTATACAATATTTATCCTTTAAAATATGTCTTATTTCACCTAGCATTGTGTCTTCAAGGTTCATTCACGTTGTAGCATGTGTCAGAGTCTTCTTCCTTTTAAAGGCTGAATCATATTCTTTGTATGTAGACACCACATTTTGTTTATCCATTCATCCATCAATGAACACTTGGATTGCTTTCATCTTCTGGCTATTGTGAATAAGGCTGCTATGAAGATTTAGTGTATAAATATCTGCTTGAGTCCCTGATTTCAGGTCTTTCGAGTATATACCCAGCAGTGGAATTGCTGGGTCGTATGGTAATTCTATGTTTAATTTTTTGAGGAACTGCCATACTGTTTTCCATAGCAGCTGTATCATTTTACATTCCAACCAGCTACACACAGGGTTCCAATTTCTCCACATCCTTGCCAGCACTTAAAAAAATATAATAGCCATCCCAATGGGTGTAAACAAGGAAGGCAGGTTTAATTGTAATTACTATTTCACAAATGAGAAAACTGAAAACCGAGGTTCAGAGAGGTGGAGACACATGTCTATGGTCAGCCAGCAAGTCACAGAGGTGGAATTTGAATCGAGGTCTAACTCCCAATCTAGGACTCTTAACTATTATGTTATATTTCCTGCCTCTGATACAAGCATCCAAATGGAAATTTTTCTGTCTTTGGACACATGTCTAATTGTGCAAGACATCTGGTAAAGGCTCAAACCTAGAAACAAAATATGTCAAAGGAGTTTTTACATGTTCTTATTGAAACTGTACCTCTCACATGGGAAAAGAGCAATAACAATTTCCCCTTATTTGCATTTCATCCTAGTTATTGAAAAATAATCTTTTCAATTTGGCCTCTCTGTAATCTTTCACCCCGATATCATCTGGTCATTTTAATGGCCTAGCAAGTGGGTTTGGGTATGGACTTTGACCTTGTTGGAGAGTGGGAGGATAGAGAAGCTAGATGATAGAAGATAAGGACTTTAATCTCAACATGTTTGAGGTTTAAGTGGCCAGAGAGATGTGGCCATCTAAGAGGCATTATCCAGCCACAGATGCATGGACCGCAGGAAACACTGGGTTGCTAGAAGGATGAGCAGAGGGGCTGAGGCCAAGGGGCAGACAGCAGCAATTGCAGTACATTTGTGGCTAGTGGAGCGTTCTCCTGGCTGAGGGCAATGCTGCCTCTTTGGCTGGGTGCAAGGCCTGGCATGACTCCATGAAGTGCAACCTAGAGAAGGAGGCTGCGGTTGGTATCGCCCTACCTCTTAGACTCCAGCTCCTTTCTGAGTGCCACTTTGCCCAAGGCCAGAGCCCTCAGATTGAACCATTGACTTTGAACTATGATCCCATGGAAATGGCCTGGCTCCAGCCTCTGGTGCTAGCTGGGCCTTTACATTGATTCTCAGGATGAGCTCCAAAATCTGGTTGTCCAGTTGTTCTAACAGAGGGTGGCAGCAAAGAATGTGGACTTGCTGTCAGACGTGTTCAGGTTGGAAAACAACTCTGCCACTGGGGCTTGTGGGACCATAGGAAAGTTTCTTAGCCTCTCTGAGCTTCAGTTTCCTCATTTGAAGTATGGCAATAATATAGGAGATAATATGGTTGTCATGAGGATGGAAGGAGACATTTATAAAGTGTTTAGCATGTAGTAAGTGCTCAATAAGTAGTAGCTGTTAAAAACTCATTTTCCTACGAGTTTTTTCAAGCTACTACTAAAGAGCTACTCTTTCTGTTTAGTAGTAGCTTTAAAAAGACTCTTAGGAAAACCTACTAGATTTGTATTTATTTCTCCTCTTTGTGGAGCAGTTTGTCAATTTGGCTATATTATCATGCTTAACCTCTGCAGAAGGAGGTCAGTTTCCTTGTTGAGCAGGAGAGAAGATGACCTAGGAAGGATGGATGCTGAATTCTGCAAGGTGTGTGCCTTGCTCAGAGCAGGTGCTCACTCATATTGTTGGATAAATCAATATGTCAGTTGGAATGGGGGTTTCCTGATGGGGAGCCATGAGAATGAGGGGTATGGAATTTAAAGGCTCAGTGTGCAGTGGGAAGGCAGAGGAGACTGGATTTGATCATTCCTTCCTATTTTTTAGGTGACACTTCTCACTTTATCGCAAATATAATGTATGGACATTTAGAAAAAATAAAAATTATAGATAATTAAAGATCTTTGAACAGGAAAATGATACAATGGAGAGAATATCTGATGATTTTTTTCCCCCAGGAAACCACTGGACTTTGGGAAAACCATGTGGCAGAGTCGGGACCACAAACATGGTAACTGCAAATCCAAGGAAAAGTGGTAGGATTTGGAAGAGGTGGGGTGGGAGCGCTTCTGAGCCTGGAAGAGCAGGAGTCTGGAGGCACTGTAGGTGATGGTCCAGGCATAGGGGTGAGGTGAGACTCTGAGGGGGTGAGGAGATCCTGTACTCTCTGGATATGCAAGCTGAAACCAAAGAGGGCCATAAAACGAATAGGATTGAAGAGTTGGGGAGGTGCATGGGCTGCAGGCATTAGTTTGAGCATCACCAAAGCACAAGAAGTCACTGAGGCTGTGACAGTAATACAGCCTCCAGGTAAAGGGATTGCATGTTGGTGGAGATGGGCAAGGCCAGGAGCTGGTGACACTCCAGTGAAAGGAGAAAGATCAGGAGGGAGCTAGAAAGGAATGAGGTGTGGAGGAAGGCAGCAGGCTTAATAACATCCCCACTAAAGATGTCCACATCTTAATCTCTGAAATCTGTGAATATGCTACCTTATATGGCAAAAGGGACTTTTCATGTGTGATTAGATTAATAATCTTGTGATGGGAGATTATCCTGGGTTATCTGGTGTGCCAATGTAATCATAAGGGGCCTTATAAGAGAGAGGCAAGAGGATCAGCGTCACAGAGAGATTGGACCATGCTATGTTGCTGGCTTTGAAGATGGAGGATGAGGCTGCAAGCCAAGGAATGCAGGAGGTCTCCAGAAAAAAGGCAAGAAAATAGACTCTTTCCTAGATCCTATGGAAGTAATGCAGCCCTGCCAATAGCTTGATTTTAGCCCACTCAGACAGATTTAGAACTTCTGACTTCCATAACTGTCATGTAATAAATGTGTGTTGTTTTAAGCCACTAGGTTTGGGGTAATTTGTTATAGCAGCAATAGGAAACTAACACATGGATGGAACTGACCAGGCACAGTGACCAGGCACAGTGTGGGGGATTCACCAGGTTACTGAGATGTGTTAGTACAGTTTGGGGTGTAGAGACTGTATCAGTCAGAGTTCTCCAGAGCTAGAGACCCGGGAGAGCTATTGGTGTAGTTTCAGTCATCTTCAGGCCAGCAGGTTTGAGACCCAGGCAAAGCCAATGTTTCATTTCAAATCCAAAACCTGAGGTCCCCATTCTAATGCCCTGAGGCAGAAAGGGTCTCTTTATTCTGGGGAGGGTCAGCCTTTATGTTCTATTCAGGTCTTCAACAGATTGGATGAAGCCCACTCACATCAGGGAGGGCAAGCCGCTTTACTCGGTCTACCAATTTAAATGTTAATTGCGTCCCAAAACACCTTCATAGAAACACTCAGAACAACCTTTGATCAAATATTGGGGCATGCCATGGCTTAATCCAGTTGACACATAAAATTAACTCTTCCACGCTTGAGGCTGTGATGCACAAGCCCTAGCCTGCTGGACATAGATGTAAGACTCCAGATCAGGCCTCCCTCTTCTTTCTCACTATGCACCCAGGGATCCCTTGGTGCTTGTGACCTTCACATGGGGAGGAGTCATATTTGTCTCTTACGCTTCTCCATGGCTGACAGTGATCAACCGGCCAGGGTGGCCAGGACCAACGCTGGTAAGAGGGTAACCCTAGTGCTCTCATGGGTCAAGTCCCCAGAATGCTGCCCTGGGATCAGGAAGGTCAGATGCTGTTGGCCATGGATGGCAAGGCATCAGAGTGCTGTTTGTGGGTGAAGTAGGCAGCTGGTGGACAAGGCAGCGGCTTCCTCTCTGTGGCAGCCAGAGGGAAGGGACATACCAGCTGAGCTGGTGAAGGAGTCCTCTAAGGTGGAAGGCAGGGCCTGGGTGCTGGTGAGTCTGATCTTGCTGCTGCTGTGTGTATGGTAACACCTCCATGGAGGGCACCTACTTCCCCAGCCACGCACAGTGTGGTGGGGCTGACCCTTAGAACTGAGTTCTGGTATTCCAGCTCTCCAAGCTCTGGTTCCATCATGCAGCCAATCCCAGGGTGCAAGCAGCTCCAGGAGGACTGCAAGTCAGAATGTCCCCAGCTCGGCCACTGCGCAGGCCCAGAACCAGGGTCCTTCTTCCTCTCCAGGGATCAAATTCTTCTAAAGGAGGCAGACAGTCTTAAAAAGCTGCTTACTATACAAAAACGTTGTTATACCCTTCTCCCAGGACACAAAGGCCTGCTTACTGACCCTTCACTTACAAACTGATGGATTTTTCCAAAACAAAGAAGACCTGCTTTGAGGTTTTGTTTTTTCCTTCTGTCTATACCCTAAGGTAGCTGGAAAATTATCTTGCTGAAGATTAAAAACACAAGTTTAAACTCTGATAGGGCTCTCTACTGTAACCCATGATTGATTTCATTTAGTACTCTCCGCAACTTTGGGAAGTCTTTATTATCTCCCTTTTGTAGAAGTGGCAATTGACGTCAGAGGCCTGGATTGGAATTCAAGTCTTCCATCTGCAAGCCCAGGGTTATTTCAGTGCCTTGGGCTGTTTCTTAAACAAGATCAAACTGTCCATTTCCCCATCACCAAGTCCATTCCAACTTTTGTTTTCAAATGGGTAAAGGATTTCTGATGGTTTTTGACAGCTCCTCATTCCAATGACCTCTAAAAGCATGAAAAGCATTCTTTCTTCTAAATTGCCATCTACCCTACTTGCTGTTTGGTTTGCTTGCATCTGCCTACTTTGCTCTGCTCTGAGTTGATGGTGTCTATGGTGAGGTCTCCTGATAAACAGGGATAGCCCTACCAATGATGTTTGAAGCTGTGGCTGCTTTATCATGATGTGGGCTTTCCCTGTGTGTCTTGGTTTAGGTTCTTCCAATAGCAAATTCTGAGACAAGCAATTTTAGTGCAGGTAGTTTATTTGGAGGTGACCCAAGGAAGTAGAGTAAGGGAGTGCGGAAGTGTAATAGGGAAGGGAGAAAAGCCGATGAGTGGTTCATTAATGAGAGGGCTACCTCTGTGGGTGACTGGGGCTCAATCCTGATGGGAACCCACTGAGAGACTGTGTGAGACACACCTCAGAAGTGCCTTGCAGAGGAGTGAGGAAGCTGGGGAATTTATCCGTGAATTCTGGTTCTCCAGTGGTTGAGGTTGTTTCTGAGGTTATCACTTTTGAGGCACTTCTGGCCTGCCCATGCATATGGTCACCATGCGCCAGTGGCCAGATGAAGCTGTCAGGCAAAAGGAAGGAGGTATGTGAGGTTAGAAGCCACTAGAGAACTCTTGGTATGAGGGATCTGAGTCTCTTTCTGGTCATGCCAGTGCTATCATTTCTCCCAAATCCTTAGACTAATTGTGTTAATACCATTACGATCCCTTGGACCCAATTTTAGTTAATTTTTAAGAGCATTTCTCACAACATTTTTTGACTTTTTTCTTTCTTAGATATCTTTCAAAAAGTATGACTGTAGAATTTACTTATTTTTTAAAAGAATAAAACTCATTTTAACTTGTAATTGTGATATTGGACGCTTTCATAAATGTAAGATACATTATGAGATTTTAGTGATCTTATTCTTTCCTGTATCTTGAAACATGTAATTGAAACCACCTTTGAAAAATTATGACAGTAAGAGAAATCTGACATGGTTGACTCTATCTTGCTTCTGACATCAAAGCTGTCCTTGGTCATCTCTGGGCATAGGCCAAGCTAACTTTGGGAGGAATTTAGTTTATAGTTTAAAATTAAAGCAAGGATGATGATGGCCCTTCCCAAAACTAAACCACCTTTGGAAAACTAATGAAAGGCCACAGGGTTAGGATTATGAGAGGCACCTGAATTCTGCTAAAATGTAAGCATAATTAAATGATAACCCGCCATTGTGCTGGAGGTCAGAAGATTTGTAACTTCTCCAGTTGCTCCTATAGATAACATGACTATTGTAGAACCTAAGATCAGCCTTTTGATGTTTTTGTGGGCTTTTGCATTCTGGCAACTGATGGACCCCATTGGTACTCATGACCAATGACTCATCTGGTCCTGTGGACCCCCATCAAGAGGCAGACTCAGCAAATGAGGACCATTTTCCACACCCCTATGATGGCATCCCCAACCAATCAGCAGCACCCATTTCCTAGTCCCCTGCCCACCAAACCCTAGCCTCCAAGTCTTTGGGGAGACTGATTTGGGTAATAACTCTATCTCCTGCGTGGCTGGCCTCATGTCAATTACACTGTTTCTTTACTACAACACCATGGTCTCAGTGAACTGGTTTTGTTTGTGGAGTGGGCAGGAAGAACCCATGGGTGATTATGTAGTTAGTTTGTCATCTTAGGAATCGTTTCATCATTACTTATCAATTAATCCCAAAATGCTGAAAAAAGACTAAAATAAGAACACTGAAGAATGATAGCATCATCTAGAAGGATGATGCAATGTAGTGTAATAAATCATCAGAATTTTGTCATCCTTCAGTTTTCTTGCTTCATTGCTTAAAATGTTACATTGTCTTTAAGAACATATAAGACTCGGGATACTATCTTTGTTGTCCGCTTTTAGTTTTTATTAAGAAGTTCAGAAATACGGATTTTTCACTTTCTGCCTATTATGACAGAGGAAAGATGATAGGGGAAGAGGTTACATAATCATTAGACAAACAGAAGATGAATTCAAAGAGACAGTAGAGTCCAGACAAATGCTGGCAAAATTGATTATGTGAGACATAACCTAGCCTATGAGTCTTCAGATGACAAAAGCCTAGAAGATTTTTCTCAAACTTGAGAGTTAACGAATTTAAAAAATATATACTTCTTTCAAAAGTTTCAGAGGGTACATGTGCATGTTTGTTACAAAGGTGTATTGCATGATCCTGAGGTTTGGAGGACAATTGAACCCATCACCAGGTAGTGAGCATAATTCCCAATTGGTTGTTTTTTGACCCTTGGCTCCCTCCCAACCTCCCCACTTTTTTATTTCCCAGTGCCTATTGTTCCCGTCTTTATGTCCATGTGTACCCAAGGTTTAGCTCCCACTTATAAATAAGTGAGAACACGCAGTATTTGCTTTTCTGTTTCTGCGTTGGTGTGCTTAGGATAATGGCCTCTAGCTGCATCTATGTTGCTGCGAAGGACATGATTTCATTCATTTTTATGTCTGAATAGTATTCCATGGTGTATATGTGCCATATTTTCTTTAGCCAATCCACCACTGCTGGGCACCTGAGTTGATTCTATGTTTTTGCTATTGTGAATAGTGCTGCGATGAACATATGGGTACATGTGTCTTTTTGGTAGGAGGATTTATTTTCCTTTGAGTATATACCCTGTAGTGGGATTGCCAGGTTGAATGGTAGCTCTATTTTGTAGTTCTTTGAGAAATCTCTAAACTGCCTTCCACAGTGGCTGAATGAATTTACATTCTCATCAACAGTGTATAAGCATTCCCTTTTCTCCATAGCCCTGCTAATATCTGTTATTTTTTGACTTTTTAATAAAAGCCAAGGAACATATTTTTAAAGACAAAAAGGAAATATGGTATTTTCATCCAGTTTGTCACTCAATATGATGAACTTAATTACACAATATTTTAGGAAAAATCCTGGGTCTTCCAATTTTGCTAAAAAGATATATGGTAATACTCTAATTTTTTAGGTTTTTGTGGAAAATTTACTTGAAATGGACAAATGCTGTAGGCAGGTGTGTACATAAGGAGGAAATAGTATAGAAAGAAAACTATTAATTGAATTGAAGATTTAAAATTGTGTTTGTAGACCTAAGAAAGAAAAAAATGACAATGTTTTGCAATCATTAGGGAAAGAAGATGAGCATTCTCTCTTCAACAAAGTTATGAGCCACTAAAGCTTTCAAAAGTATTGTGTTTTGATGATTCAATAACAAACAGAAGAACCGTAAGGAATAAGTTAGAACCAATTAGAGATACATTTGAAATCTGGAATCAGTATTTATAAGATGAATATGTTTCAGGTTTATGACACTGGATCAATGAATGATTTAATCAAAGTTTGTTTTCTATTTCAGGTATGCTATATTCTTTATTATTATTATTTTATTTTATTTTTTGTAGAGATGGGGGTCTCACTATGTTGCCCAGGCTAGTCTTGAACCCCTGGCCTCAAGTGATCCTCCTGCCTCAGCCTCCCGAAGTGCTGGGATTGCAGGTGTGAGCTGCCACCATGCCCAGCCTCAGGTATACTATCTTCAAAAGTAGGAAAATGAATACAATTTGGGTTTATTATATTTAAATTCTTATTAACATTTCTAACAAAGCTGGCTTTCATTGTCTGTGGTAGTCAGCCTCCAAGATGGACCTAAATGATCCTAGCCTCCTGCTATTCACACCTTGTGCAGTCTCCTTCTACATTGTACCAGGGTTGGTCAGTGTGACCAACAGAATATGGCAGAAATAATGTGCCATGGTTTGAATGTTTGCCTCCTTCAAGAGTCACGTTAAAATTTAACCACCATGGAAACACTATGAAAAGTTGGGACCTTTAAGAAGTGATTAGGCCATTAGGATTCCCCCTTCATGGGTGGGATTGGTGTAGTTATGAAAGAGTGAGTTTGTCTCCCTCTAACCTTGCCCGTCCTGCTTCCACTATGGGATGACATATCCAGAAGTCTCCCACTAGTTGCTGGCCCATTGATCTTGGACTTCACAGCCTCTAGAGCTGTAAACCAATAAATTTCTGCTCATTATACATGACCCAATCTCAGGTATTCTGTCACAGCAGCAAGAACGGGCTAAGACATGATGGTGCATCACTCTTGAGATTAGGTTATAAAAGACAGGTGGGCTTTCTCTTTCACCACCCCCTCTGGGCAGGAAGTGAGCTATCCTGTTGTGAGACTCATGTGGAGAGGAATGGAGGTGGCCATCCAACAGCTGGTGCGGAACCAAGGCCTGCTAATGACCATGTGAGTGAGCTTGGAAGAGGATCCTCCAGCCCTAGATGACTGTAATCCTGGCTGACAGCTTGAGTGCAACCAGGACTGGCTACATAATTTTAGACTGTGATCCAGTGCAAAATGAAAATGGGGGCTCCTTTTTCAAAAATTACTAAAAAAAATCAAGACAGCAACAGCAGAGTATTAAGCCAAGTATAGGGCCTTTTGTGATTGTACCGTTTGCCTGCCCATGAAGCTGGCCCTGACTGCAATCTCCTGACAGACCCCAAGCCAGAACCACCAAACTAAGCCACTCCAAGATTCCTGCCACAGATACCATGAGATGAGAAATTTTTGCTGTTTTAAGCTGCTAAGTTTTGGGAGTAATCTGTTATATAGTAATAGGTAACTAATATACTATCCCTTTATTACTGCTTCTATAAATTATTTGTAAAAGGATTTTAAAATACCCATATGGTGAGATGAATTTTAAAACTGTTTTCAGTAAGAAACTTTCTACTCACACAGATCACCAGGGGCATATGTGATTTATCTAAAAGAAAAAAAAATGCCAAGAAAGATGGAATTTTACTTCCCATTTTCTCCTGGGTCCTATTTAATAAATGGATTTTCAGCTTGTTCTTGGATATTGTGACTATAGACAGAACCTCCTTTCAAAGTGGTGAATTCAATTTACCTCTTAATCTTTTACAAGGCCCTAATTCTTCTCTTTATATATAGTTTCCTATGAGCAACCATGAAAATGAAAAGAGAACAGCTATATAAAGAAAGTCATTTTGAAGAGAAAGAGACTATGAAACCTCAAAGCACCCTCTCTTTGTATTGTGAAAGTTGTCAAAATCAAAATGGAATCGCTAATATTAAGAAAACCCTGACAAATAGAGCTGAGGAAGGCCATGAGGAGTGGGTTTTTATATTTGTATGTCTGATCATAAAAGCTATAATAAAAGACCATAAAAAGCATGACCTTGTATAAAGGCCATATTTTTGTGAGGACATCTGTCCAGTAACTGTCTGTTTAACCTTGAACTGGTGTTATCTTTGTTACTAATCTTTATAGTCAAAGATAGTTATTTCAGAACAATTATGTAATCAAAATTTAAAAAAAATACTCAGATGGTAAATAGTTATAACTATTTTTCCTGAGCTGCTAAGTGTTAAAGGGATAAGAGTGATTTAGTTAGTCACAAATGTAGTTTCATATTCTCTCCTACCTCAATGCCTTTGCATATGCTGTTTGCTATGCCTAGTATGCCCTTCCCCTCACGCTTTATCCAGCTTAAATCAGACAGCCTTCAGGTCTTGACTTAAACATCACTTTGGCAGGGCACAGTGCTCGTGCCTGTAATCCCAGCACTTTGGGAGGCCGAGGAGGGAGGATTGCTTGAGCCCAGCAGTTCGAGACCAGCCTGGGCAACATAGGGAGATCCTGTCTCTAGAGATTCTGTCTCTACAAAATAAAAAGTTAGCCAAGTGTGGTGGCGTACTCCTGTGGTCCAAACTACTTGGTGGGCTGAGGTGGGAAGATTGCTTGAGCCCAGGAAGTTGAGGCTTCAGTGAGCCGTGATTGTGCTACTGCAGTCCAGCCTGGGCAACAGAGTGAGATCCCTATTTCAAAAAACGCCCCCCAAAACATCACTTCCTGAGGAAAATTATTACTGACTCTCCAGACTGGGTTACATACCTTTTAAAATAAAGTCCCCAAACACCTGTGCCTCCTTGCAGTACCGTGGATACTTGTAATTAGTGAATTAATTGTTGATAATTAGTTGCTTAATATCTGTCTTCCCACTAGACTGTAAGTTCCTTGATGTCATTTGCCTTTTGTCTTTGTTCACACTGCATACCTAGACCCTGGTGCAGTGTTTGGCACTCAGTAGGAATGCAGCAAAATTTGTTTGATTGACTGGTTTGCCTCTATGCCAATGGATTAGGACCACATGATGATGATTTATGATGGAGTATTAAACCACAGGCTGAATGAAGTCGTTGCGGTAATGCTTTCTCTGGAGCATCTAAACATGGTGGTTCTGGTCCTGAATACAAGGGAAATGCCCCTTTTCCAACTGGACTCTTGTATAAACAACACAGACTATTAAAGCAGGTGAATGGGGAAAATTCATACCCATGGATATTGAAGTCAGCCTTCAGCAATGAACAAAATAGCATGCACAAAAACAGTATGTGCTTCTGACTCTTAGGGGGAGAGATTTAACCCATTTATGCTGGAGATTGCAATTTTTTGAACTGCAAAATCAGACCTTGGCGATGACCTTGAGAAGTAGGATATAAATAACCCTCACATGCTCAGCATTCCAACAATGGAACACTAGGCATAAGTGGGTTAAGAGGATGCCAAATTTTTGGATGTGAATGCAAAATTTAAGAACTGCCCTTGGTAAATTTGACCTTTGTTGTTAAGCCTCAGTTCCTCATCTATCCAATGGGACCAATAGTAACAACCTCATAAGTTGGGTCTGAGGATATGAGATAAAGTAGGGAAAGTGCTTAGCAAAAGGTTAGCTTTTAGTACCCTCCACCCTCATAACAAGGTGGATTGGGGTTTGATTCTTATTCTGCTCTTTGTTTCTGGCTATGTGAGTTATTTAACCTCCCATAGTCTCAGTGTCTTCATTAGTGAAATGGAGAAAATAATGCTTCCTACCTTGTAGAGTAAATGCAAGAGTGTATACTAAGGTCTTCATTTTTGGCATTTGCTAAGCCCTCATAGTTGCTACAACTATTATTATTAATTTTGAACTAGGTTACAGAAAAACAACCCGGTGAAGAGAAAGATCCCTTTATAGGTGGAAGAGGGAGGGGAAATAAATAGAAACAGAAGAATATAGACAATTGCCAAAAATATTTTCACAAGATGTGCATTATTCCCAGTGACTATAACTGACCACTGGTCTCTTTAGGGGCTTATTTCTTGCCAGCCTGGCACCACATGGCTTGAGCTTCATTCCAGTATGTTCTCAGTTCCTCCCACTTGAACGTGCCTAAGGGAAATACCAGAAGGAAATTTTTGTGGCCACGAAGAGTCTGGGTGTCTGGCAGTAAGGCCAGTGTCTTAGTCAGCTCAGGCTGCCTTAACATAGACTGGGTGGCTTACAAACAATAGAAATGTATTTATCACAGTTCTGGAGGCTGGAAGTCCAAGATCAGGGTGCTGGCATGGTTGGGTTCTGGTGAGGCCAGATGGCCAACTTCTCTTTGTATCTACACATGGCAGAGAGCAGAGAGGGAAAGCAAACTCTCTTGTGACTCTTATAAGGGCACTAATCTCATTCATGAGGGTTTCACCCTCATGACCTCACCTAATCCTTTTTTTTTTGACTGTATATCATCATCATCTAATCATAATTATCTCCCAAAGGACTCATCTCCCAAGGCCATCACATGGAGCTGGTAGACTTTCAACATATGAATTTCAGGGAGACATATTTAGTCCATAAGAGCCATTAATATTTTCGAGTACCAGGGAGCTGGGTCTGCAGAACTAGAGGTAAACCACAGCTTGAATGCTGTGGCCTCCTTTTGTTTGGCAACTCAAGGACGACTCATGAGGATGGCCTCTACTTCTAATTGTGTCCCAGAATTGTATCCTTTCTTAGTAACATAAACGTTGACTTTTAGCTGTACACATGTGGTCACCTCCAATTAGGATTACATTTTTTAAAGCCCTTTTTTGCTGAATGTGGTCATATGACCAAGTTCTAGCCAATGAGACAAAATGAAACGTGACTTCTGGGAGGTGTCCTTAAAAAGAGGAGCATGCTCTTCTTTCCTCTTTTTCCTTCCTGTTGGCTGGAAAATAGATATGATGGCTGGGGCTTAAGCAATCATCTTGTACCACCAGGTAGAGCTGCTTATTATGACAGAGAAATAATAGAAGGAGCCTGGCTTGGAGGAAGCTGCCCGAAACTTTCAATGGAGTTGTGTACCAAAGAGAGAGCTAAATTTCTAAATTGTTTGTCACTCGAATTATTTTTGTCATGTGTATTTAAAGCTAAAGGAGTGACTTTGGTAAGGTTAAATGTCTGCGGGTAAACTTCATTTGCACACTGGGACTAATAATACTTACCTTAGCCTAATGCTAAGGTTACAGCAAGTTAGTCATAAATCTAAAAGCAGAACCTAGGAATCTTAATGTCTCAAGCTTCTAAGCTCACTAGTGTTTTTGACAAAAGTCTTGGACCTTAGATACAGTGTACCTCTTTCCATTGGTAGCTATTGTAACAAATGAAGCAAATATAAATCAGGATATATTTATGTTATAGAAGCACTCTGCTCCAGAGCCTCATTCAGGATCTACCTCCATCATGAGACCTTCCTGCCCATTAGGCCTACAGTGGGTCATCTCACTCTGAGTTCCTACAACACACTGCAGGCTTTACTCTTTTTTTTTTGAGACGGAGTCTCACTCTGTCGCCCAGGCTGGAGTGCAGTGGCGCAATCTCGGCTCACTGCCAGCTCCGCCTCCCAGGTTCACGCCATTCTCCTGCCTCAGCCTCCCCAGTAGCTGGGACTACAGGCGCCCGCCACCACACCTGGCTAATTTTTTGTATTTTTAGTAGAGATGGGGTTTCACCGTGTTCGCCAGGATGGTCTCCATCTCCTGACCTTGTGATCTGCCCTCCTCGGCCTCCCAAAGTGCTGGGATTACAGGCATGAACCACCGTGCCTGGCCAGCTTTACTCTTAAATGTGGTCCCCAGGTATCTCTCTGGTCTGTGTCTTAAATTAGATGGTAACCTCTCAGAGGGCTGGGTGTGCATCCAAAGATCCATCATAATAATGAACATTGTGCAAGGCGTAGAAGGAGGTGCATCAAAGTGCTTACTAAAAATGGATGAAAAGATTCTATTCTGAAGATGAGATGAGGAAAGAATCCTCTGGATTATATAGAAACACAGATATATATATATATATTTCTTTTTTTCTAGATGGAGTCTCGCTCTGTTGCCCAGGCTGGAGGGCAGTGGTATGATCTTGACTCACTGCAACCTCCATCTCCCAAGCAATTCTCCTGCATCAGCCTCCCGAGTAGCTGGGATTACAGGCATACACCACTGCACCCGGCTAATTTTTCTATTTTTAGTGGAGATGAGGTTTTGCCATGTTGGCCAGTCTGGTCTCAAACTCCTGGCCTCAAGTGATCTGCCCACATCGGACTGTCAAAGTGCTGGGATTACAGGGGTGAGCCACCGCGCCTGGCCAGAAACACAGATATATTTGAAACTGGCATTTCTAGTTAGTACTAAATATTTGAGGCCTTCAGACCTCAATCTGTGATATAAAGTATTAATTTTCATCTACTGAAATATCCCATTGCAAATAGAAGTCCCACAAGACAAGGAGTATGACTGAAACTGGACAAACCAGATGCCAAGATAGTCAGATTATTTTTGGACCATGAGTCTGGCCTCCAGGGAAAGAAGAAACTTGTCAATTTTACTTTTTTTGCTTGGATCAGAAGATTAAGCCTGGCAGAGAGATACTGTTTGGGACTAGTGGTTCTCTGGAATTCCTAACCTTCTCTGGGCTTGGGAGGAGTTGGGAGAAGAAAATGCATCATCTGAATGATGGCCATGGTTACAACAGGCCTCATATGCCAACCAGAGGGAAAGAAAATACTTGCTGAGCAGAGTAACTGGAAAGCAGTTGCTCATAGTTTGAACTAAACTACATGATTGAAATCCAGAATAATGTAGATTTTTGGACCAGTGAACACTTGGAAATAAGCTTTCTGGCTGGAAAGCAGCATTTGATGTTAGGGATGGAAAGGGCTATTGCAATGCTTTTTCCCTGGGCACTTTGTGCTGCCAGATACTCAGGGCCATCTGAAGCATATTTACTTACTCCAGCAGATTTCTCAATAGTTCCAGCAACAGGAAGGAGTTGACCAGCTTGATAGGTGAATGTAGCCAGGTGGTAGAGTCAGGAAAAGCCTGTCACACTGCTGAGCCCGATGGTAACAGTTCCATCCTGTTGAGCCCCTGGAGGGTGAACACTTAGGTGGACACATGGATATTGATGTCAGTGCTGCACAGGGCACGGTACTGGACAAGTGTCACAAGTCCAGCTGGGCAAACTCCAGGATGCCAGGTCACAAGGGCTGTTTCCAGGAAGGGCTGACCCCTGATGTTTACATCCTTTTCCTCTGAAGCTCAGTGGAGCTCACCAGTCTCAGTTCACCTTGTAGGCCACTGAAGAAATTCCCAATTAGCACAGAGGAACGTCCAACCCTATGGGATTTGAGACTGGAGATTGCAGCCATCACATGATGGAAGCAGAATTAGACTCCAAAAACCTTGCCTTGAGTCTCGGCGTCTCGGCTCTGTCATTTGCCAGCCAAATGAGGCCAGGCAAGTCACAATCTCATGGAGTATTCACTTATCTACCTGTAAAGTAGGAATGTCTGACCTATTTCAGAAGATTGTTCTGAGGATAAAATGAGATGAGGCATTTGTCCTGTCCTCTTCAAATGCCATATTGTGATACTTTTCACTTAATTATTTTAAGGGCTTTAAAGACTCCATCTCCTTTACTTTTGACAACATCTCATGGCAGGGGATACTATTTTTATCCCCATTTTACAGAGAGAAAAACGGGACCCTGGATGAGTCAAGTGACTTCTTCAAGCTTATACCACTAGGTGGCAGACTCAGGATTTGAACCCTGCTGTACAGCTCCAGAGTCTGTCTGACCAAAGCACTCATTCCCAGTGGAGGAAAAGATAGACCATTCTTTTAGAAGTGCGCTTCATTTTTGTTTGGAGAACCACAAGTACTTTGTTATTGTTCCAGCATCCAGTCTGAGCTTTCTTGTCAGAGGGCAATGGGGAGAGGGGAAGTCGTTTAAGCAGGGAATGGTGAGTTCCGGTTTGCTGCTTAAAAGGATCACTGGCTTCTAAATAGCGAATAGACACACTGGCTGCCGTGTGGAGGTTGGATGGGGCCAGTGTGGAGAGAGGGCAAAACTGAATTCAGGAGTCAGGTGCGAAGCTGTTTCATGGAATCCAGGAGAGAAGCCCTGAGGGAGCAGAGCTAATCTTAGGACCTCTCAGACCAGATAGGGAGGGGGAGTGTGGCACTGATGCTTACAATCAAATTATAGAAAAGAATCCCTCCCTGCGAAGTAGCCCATACTGATGGAAGTAAGCACTAAAGGTTGTTCTCCACATAAGGAGATCGCTCTGGGTTTCATTTTGCGCCCCCCCGCCCCCTTCCCTGTGATTTCCTGGAGATGTCAGTCTCACTGAAGGCAGCTGAGCACCTTGCTCTGTTGAGGAGCCGGTGTGATGCAGCTGTGACCATTCCCAAGATGGCCTTCCGGGGATGGCCCTGGGCAGAGCCCCCCAACATCTGACTGAAGCTCCGCTGAGCTGTCCTCTCCAAGAGGGTCGGGCACCCGGGAGAGATCTCCTCTCCTTGTTCTACCCCATCTCTGGGATCTCTGCATCCTCAGACTGCCGCCTCCTCATCTATACTTTTCCTCCTTGTCTCCCATCAGGGGACCAGGGCCTCTCTGCCCGCCTCTTCCAGAGCTGCTGGGCTATAGAGAGGCTGCCCCTTGCCCTCCAGTTCAGAGGGGGAAGCTAGGATGCCTGAGTTCCAATCCTGGATCATACGGACCATAGGGCTGGGAGATGTGTGTGTGTGTGTGTGTGTGTGTGTGTGTGTGTGTGTGTGTGTGTGTGTGTGTAGGGGGTTACCGTACCCAAGAGGCCCTCCCCAGCGGCCAATGCCCAGCACACGCTTCACCTTGTCCCTTGCGACTTCTCCCGGGGCAGCCGCTGTGAGACTCAGGATGTCACCTCCCAGGGAGAGTCTTTGAAAGAAGTGGATGCTCCCATTCCCCACTCCAACGCCACAGCCCACCCTGTGCGGGTCATCCAGCGACTTCCCAGTTACTCTTCCCAGATGCAGCAGGGAGGCAGATCTCTCGGCGCCTTCGTGTCACAGCATTCTCATCTGATAAATGGGGCTAGGAGTATTTTCCCTGCCTACTTCACCAGGATGTTGGGACAATCACGAGCTTGAGCTAAGAAATATACATGCTTAAGGCATTATTATTAGCCAGGTGAGCCTTCTGGTGGGTGCCGGCTGCTGGGGCTCTCTCAGGCTTCCTCGGGCAGGAGTGCCGGGAGAAAGTTACTCTTTATCCCACTCTCTCCCGGGGCCTACTCCCGCGGAGCTCCTCGGCGGGGGGTTGACCACGAGTGGCTCCTCTTGCCCCTCTCCCATTGGCTTTCACCTGCCAGAGGGTCGGCTTCAACAGGCCTCTTGGCCCGTCAATCAGGCCCGCCGTGCTCCGCCCCGCCCCTCCCGGGGGTTTATAACGGGAATTCCCATGGCCCGGGCTCAGGCGTCCAACCTGCTGCCGCCTGGGCCCCGCCGAGCGGAGCTAGCGCCGCGCGCAGAGCACACGCTCGCGCTCCAGCTCCCCTCCTGCGCGGTTCATGACTGTGTCCCCTGACCGCAGCCTCTGCGAGCCCCCGCCGCAGGACCACGGCCCGCTCCCCGCCGCCGCGAGGGCCCCGAGCGAAGGAAGGAAGGGAGGCGCGCTGTGCGCCCCGCGGAGCCCGCGAACCCCGCTCGCTGCCGGCTGCCCAGCCTGGCTGGCACCATGCTGCCCGCGCGCTGCGCCCGCCTGCTCACGCCCCACTTGCTGCTGGTGTTGGTGCAGCTGTCCCCTGCTCGCGGCCACCGCACCACAGGCCCCAGGGTAAGTGCGCCCCCAGCTTTGCGCCCACCTGCGGAGGGAGGGGAGGTTGCTTCCCCCCTCATCCCTGAGGGAAGGAGGAGGGGGAAGAGAGATGTCAGAGACCTGTTGTCCTCTGTCTACTACCAGGTCCCCTGCGGGCTTGGTGAAGTTGCTGAAATATTTTTTTTCTCCCATTGGAGCCACCACCACTCTCCCTTTCTTGACCCACCATCCCTCCCCTGTCCCCGAACTGTCACTGGTGGGTTTTCTTTCCCAATCTCTTCTCTCCTGCATTTTGCTCAAGACCCTCAGAGGTGCCTCCTGCGTCGGAGAGAAGCTCGCTCTCCGCTCATGCAGGGCTTCCCTGTGGTCTCACGCTGGCGCCCGGTCCAGCGCGCTGGAGTTGTTGGCAGGCGGCGGGGGTTGGGACGGGGGCGGGTGCAGCTCTGCCTGGAGAGTTTTAGGTTACCCGCGAGCCACACAAGGACCTTGTGTTGTTGTTTTAAAAAGCGATCACTGCTCGTAAAACCCACAGCAGATAATTTTAATGTCACCTCCTGCCGGGCAGGCACTGGAAGAGGGTCAGAGGTGGGGTACTGTAAAGAGGTGGGAGGGGAGAGTTGCGCAATGTTCAGGGGTCTCTCCCCCTGGGTTCAGTGCTGGGAGGTTGAATTACTCGTTGAACCTTGGTCTGATTGGAGTTTCTGAACGACATGAAACCTGCCAATTCTGTGCACAGGACAGATTGTCCAGGGCATTGTAAAATCTCCTGGAACCGACAGTATTGTGTTCATTTCTGGTCTAGATTATCCCCGCAACACCCCCCACCAATTGGTCTAATAAAGAATTTCACTGCCTTGAAACATGTACTATTAAACGACCTAGTGGTTCTTTTGACCAAACTTAATCCAGGCAATCTCTGGCCAAGCATCAGTTTATGTCAGGGCAATTGACTCTTAACTGGCAGCCTGAGAGTCCATGTGAAAGTAGCTAGGATCTTTGTGAAAACAAGGTTGGCTCAACCAACTCGTGCTTTCTTTCTTGAACATCCTTGGGCCTGGCCCTTTACCACCTGTTCAGATTGCAGGTTGTTTATTCATAGCTTTTACTATATGAGAATCATCTTTATAGCTGTCGTGTGGAGAAAAAGTCTTGCAATGCTTGACAAGTCTTAATGACTGCCCAGATGCTGGGTTGATTACATCCAAGCCCAGGTATCACTGTGAGATCAGATTTGCAGCCATTTAGGAAAGAAAAGTGTTTGTCCCCGTGTTGGGCCAGCCCTTGCTTTTATGACCAGATGTGCAACAGCAGCAGTTAAAGTGTGGCAGATTAGATCCAGGGCGTGTCATAAATCCTCGACAGCAGGCATTCCCAAAGCTGGGGCAAGTAAGGGCTCCAGGAGTGACTTTTATGGATGCAGATGAGGATGCCTTTTAAATGAAGCTGCTTGGTTTGATATTAGGACTCAGAGCTCTTAAACTCTGAGGTCAGGCGAGCCATGCGTTCCCTCCAATAATTAGGAACAGTCAAGACAGAGATGCAGACCAGAGCACCCCGACTGAAATCTGGATGGCCGCCCACAGGAGGGTCGAAAGGAGAGAGGCCCTGAGACAAATGGTGGGGGGCTCGTTTGTTTGCTGCTGGGCTTGTCTAGAGTCTCAAGCCATATGGCTCTCCTTCCTGGCCTCCTGGAATCAGAGGAAGCAACCTTTAGGGGAAAGCTAGGGACTTGAGGGGAAATCAGGCACCGTGGTTAGGTTCCTTCCAGCTCCTCTAGTTTATTAATTTGATAGAAGTGATGGAACGTAAGCAGGAATTGTAAATAGGCTGGTGTATGTCCAAGCTGCTTCACACTCTCTCTCTCCTTCTTTCTTTTTTTCCCTCTTTCTCTCTCTCACTCAAATACATACATGCACAAACACACACACACATGTGCACACACATCTTGGTGTGTTTAGAAAGTACCAAGGAGAAGGTGCTGTCTCGAGCATGTGGTTACCTGGTTGTGTTTATAGATAACAATAAGAGCTACCACTTATGAACATCTGGGCTGGGCACTTTACATGATCTCTTACTCGAACGAGAACAAGAAGTTGGGTCTTTTAAAAGCCATTTTACAGATGACAAAGTGAGACTCAGGGTGGCCAATCGACTTGCCTGAGCTTCCAGTTTATATGGATTGAAAAGTTGTGTGCTCTCCCCACCACCAGGCAGCTATAGTGAGTGTTCATCCGAGTGATGCTGTTTCTGTTAAAGAAAGAGATGGCTCGATGAGAAATACAGAACCCGGATACATCAGGGGAGTCTGCAGAGAAATTGTTAATATTTTTTTGGTGTCTGTATCACTTAAGGCAAATGACTGAATTTCAACCTATCCCCAAAGACTCCAGTTCTTTTCTATGGCTTATTGGGGGCCTCAAAAGT
The DNA here is from genome assembly GCF_000001405.40 of Homo sapiens. NCBI lineage: Eukaryota > Metazoa > Chordata > Mammalia > Primates > Hominidae > Homo > Homo sapiens. The sequence continues at coordinate 69,882,184 of NC_000014.9, forward strand.
GTAGCTCTGGTTGTTGAGAGCGGCGTCATCCGAGGAGCAGAAACATCTGGCTTGTTGCATTATTCCCTGTGGGCGCTCCTAAGTCTCTTCTGTTAATCTTTTGAGTGACAGAGGCTTAAGGATTGGCATCTTTTCCAGCTGGCTTTCTAGGAAACCAAGAGCATGCCCTTTCAGTTTAACTTTATCTGGCTCACTAATTGAGCTCCCCCGAGGCCTAGACCCCAGTCCTCGCCCCCTTATTTGCTTCCTGCCTTCCTTCATAAAATTCTTGACATTTGTTTGACTCTGGAAACCAGCGGCTATCGAGTATCAGATTGGAGGCTATTATGTAGGAAGCACCTGATTTTGGGGTCTCTCAACTGTGAGTGGTTGCTTGGCTAGCTGGGACGTTGGTCAGGATTCTTTTAATCACTGAGGAGGCAGCCGTTTCTTTAATCCTGCACAATTTACTGAAAATGTTTCAGGGGAGGATGGGATGGGGGAGGGGCTCTCCCTGGCTGATGGTGTCTGGCCGATGGTCAAGCCAACTGCCTGTCTTTGTTAAATTCTGTGTCTCCCTTGAAGATGGAAAGCTGGGTGAAGGCAGGAACTGTTTCTGTCTTGTCCAGGGATTTATCTCCAGAGCTCAGCAAGGGGCCAGACACCTGTCAAGATTTACTTTGTTGGTACTGATGGAATGAACAAATAAATGCAGATAATGTGTGTTTGAGAGTGATTACAGGTTCCACTTTGACTGGAGGCAGGAACTAGATTTAAGAAGTGTGAGAAATAGGAGATGATGCGAAGATCAAGAGGTCTGAGTCAGAAATGGATTTTTATTTTTTAAATTTGACAGATAGCATTGTATGTATTTATTGTGCACAATATGATGTTTTGAAGTATATATACATTATGAAATAGTTAAATCTAGCTAATTAATGATAGCATTACCTCGCATAATTATTATTTTTGTGGTGAGAGCACTTAACATCCACTCTTTGCATTTTTCAAGGATACAATAACTTGTCATTAACTATAGTCACTTTGAATAGATCTCTTGAATTTATTACTCCTCTCTAACTATAATTATGTACCCTTTGACCAACCTCTCTCCTTTCCCTCTCCCCTCTTCCTTCCTCAGCCTCTGGTAACCACTGTTCTACTTTCTACTTCTATGAGACCAATTTTTTTAGATTCCACATATGAGTGAGATTATGCAGTATCTGTCCTTCTGTGGCTGGCTTACTTTTCTTAACGTCCTCCAGGTTCATCTACATTGTTGCAAATGACAGGACTTCATTCTTTTCTGTGGCTGAATAGTATTCCTTGTGTATATATACCATATTTTCTCTATCCATTCATCCACTGATAGACAATTAGGTTGATTTCATATCCTGGCTATTGTGAACAATGCTGCAATAAACATGGGAGAACAGGTATTTCTTCAACATACTGATTTCATTTCCTTTGGATAAATGTCCAGCAGTGAGATTGCTGGATCATATGCTAGTTCTGCTTTAAATTTTTTGAGGAATGTTTTTACTGTTTCTCATGATGGCTGTACTAATTTATGTTCCCACCAACAGTATGTGAGAACTCCCTTTTCTCCATATCCTTACCAGCACTTGTTGTTTTTTGTCTTTTTGATAATAGCCATTCTAACTGGAGTGAGGTGGTATCTCATTGTGGTTTGAATGCATTTCCCTGATGATTAGTGATGTTGAGCATTTTTTTTTTTTTTTTTTTTTTTTTTTTGAGACGGAGTCTCGCTCTGTCGCCCAGGCCGGACTGCGGACTGCAGTGGCGCAATCTTGGCTCACTGCAAGCTCCGCTTCCCGGGTTCACGCCATTCTCCTGCCTCAGCCTCCCGAGTAGCTGGGACTACAGGCGCCCGCCACCGCGCCCGGCTAATTTTTTGTATTTTTAGTAGAGACGGGGTTTCACCTTGTTAGCCAGGATGGTCTCGATCTCCCGACCTCATGATCCACCCGCCTCGGCCTCCCAAAGTGTTGGGACTACAGGCGTGAGCCACCGCGCCCGGCCGAGCATTTTTAAATATACCTATTGCCCATTTCTATGTCTTCTTTTGAGAAATACCTATTCAGATCTTTTGCCCATTTTTTCATTGCATTGTTTTTTGTTTTTTTTGCTATTAAGTGATTTGAGTTCTCTGTGTACTTTGCATATTAACTCCTTATCAGATATACAGTTTGTGAATATGTTCTCCCATTCTCTAGGTTATCTCTTTACTTGGTTAATTGTTTTCCTTGGTGTGTAGAAGCTTTTTAGTTTGGTATAATTTCATTTGTCTATTTTTGCTTTTGTTGCTTGTGCTTTTGAGGTCCCCAAACCAAAGTCATGGAGCTTTCCCCCTATGTTTTCTTTTAATAGTGTCATAGTTTTGGATCTTACATTTAAGTCTTTAATTCATTTGAGTCAATTTTTGTATATGGTGAGAGATGAGGGTCTAATTTCATTCTTCTGCATGTGGATATCCAGTTTTCCTAACACCATTTATTGAAGATTTTCCTTTCCCCATTGTGTGTTCTTGGTACCTTTGTTGAAATCAGTTGTCTGTAAATGCGTGGATTTATTTTTGGGCTCTGTCTTCTGTTCCATTGGTCTATGTGTCTGTTTTTATGCCATTACCATGCTGTCTTGGTTCTATAGCTTTGTAGTTTATTTTGAAGTCATATAGTGTGATGCCTCTGGCTTTGTTCTTGTTACTTTTTACTTTGCTTTGGCTATTCAGGGTCTTTTGTGGTTCTACAAAAATTTTAGGGTTTTTTTTTCTATTTCTATGAAGAACATCTTAGTATTTTTATAGGGATTGCACTGAATCTGTAGATTGCTTTGGGAAGTATAGACATTTTCACAACATTTGCTCTTCCAATTCATGAACGTGACATCTCTTTCCATTCATTTGTGTATTCTTCAACCTGAAACTTATTTCTTAAATGTTTTAGATATTTGTTATTTCTTCTCTCACCTCTTGATCACTTGATTCATCCTTCAAAACCCAGTTCCAACATTACTCTCTAGGAACTTTTCTACAGAGCATTCTTTTTGCTTAGGAACGATTACTCTCTCCTTCGAACAACTTCTTTTTTTTTTTTTTTAAGGAAAATTTGTATTATTTTAATTATTTTTATGTACAGAAAACTCAACAGTGTACATTTAACCCAGTTTAGTGGCAAGTTCTTTAGCCTTTGCCTTTTTGCGCTTGGCGATACGAGCCACAGACTTAGGACCCAGGACATTGCCACCCCAGTGACGGCGGATCTCATCGTATCTGTCATTGTAATTGGTCCTGATAGCTTCCACCAGCTTAGCCAAAGCGCCTTTGTCTTCTGAGTTCACCTGTGTGAAGGCGACAGTGGTGCAGGTCTTCCTGTGGACTAGACGTCCCAGTCTTGCCTTCCCCTTGATAATGCAGTAAGGGACCCCCATTTTACGACATAGGGCAGGCAAGAAGACAACCAGCTCGATGGGATCCATGTCGTGTGAAATCACCACCAGCTGAGCTTTCTTGTTCTCCACCAAGGTGGTGACAGTGTTAACTCCTGCTCGAAGGACAGGTGGTCTCTTCTTCGGGACGTCCCCTTTGCCAGCAGCTTTCTTCTCGGCCCGGGCCAACAGTCTCTGCTTCTTCTCTTGCTTTGTCTCTGGCCTGTACTTGTGGGCCAGCTTAAGCAGCTGAGTAGCTGTTTGGCGGTCCAGGGCCTGGGTGAACTGGTTAATCGCAGGAGGCACTTTCAGCCGCTTATAGAGGATGGCTCTCTGCCGCTGCAACCTGATATAGCGGGGCCATTTCACAAAGCGGGTGAGGTCTCTTTTGGGCTGGATGTCCTGTCCAATGCCAAAATTCTTAGGCCTTTTCTCAAACAGGGGATTCACCACTTTCTTAGCCTCCTGCTTCTTCACGACAGCTGGGGCCGGAGCCACCTTCTTTCCCTTGGCCTTCTTTCCTTTCGGCATCTTGGGCAGCGGGAGGAGAGAGCTCCTTTGAACAACTTCTATATCTGGTCCACTTGTATTCTAACTTGTATTAATCCTCCTGCAGTGAGCATCTTAATATCAGGCCAGCATCTTCCTCTTCTTTGCACCAAGTTGGCCCTTTAGCATTTCATGCATGATCTGTTTTGTTAAATGAACAAATCTGCAAGCCCCTTGAGGACAGAATAGAGACCTCATTCATCAGGGTGCTTGTCACATTGTAAAGCATTCTGTAAATATATATTGAAATGAAGTGGACTGCATAATGATGTCCAACCTGAACCCCTGCTGTTGTTTAAATCTGAAATTGGTTACTTACAAACTGGCTTTTCCATTTTTGAGTTTTTGTTCTTTGTTTAAAAATAAGTGTGTTTGGTAGTTACAGGAAGGCTGGGGGAAGAGAGACTCAACATGCGAATTTGAATAGGGAAACTGGCTTTATAGCTCCTCCCCAGTCCTTTTTTGTATCTTGCATTTGCCAAGAGTGAAACAGCTTCTAAACTGTTTCCTTCCATTTGACTAGCCCATCCCAGCATCTGGTCCAGGGTGGGTCCTTGTGTCTGCTTAGATGCTTTTCCTATTATCTGTGCCCCTGACAAGAATCCTTCTTTTCCATATGGGGGGATTTAGCTGAAGTGCTACTGAAGTGTTAGGCCAAGGACCAGATTTAAACATTTTGGTAGAGCTGACATGTGAAATTTATAGAAACAAAAGGACAGGAAGAGGAAACAATCATCTTAGAATCTCTAGGAAATGCAATCAAAATAGAAAAGAATTGATATGATCTAATTATCTTCTGAAGTTGAGTATTCACATTTCTTATGGCCCAGCAATTCCACTCCGGCTCTATGTGCCCAGGAGAAACTCATGTCCTGTGCAACTATGTTTATAATATCACATGCCTGGAAAGAGCCCAGATGCTCATCAGTGGGAGGGCAGATGAGTAAACTGTGATGAATTCACAGTGTAAAATTATACTCAGCCAAAACAAGTGAACAACAGTGACATGCAAAAATATGGATAAATCTTGGCAATATGATATTAAGTGAAAGAAAATTACCAAAAGATACAGTAACTTATAAATAACTAAAATTAAAAAAAAGTTTTTAGGACTACATACAGCTACAACAAAATGCTATGAAAAGCATAGTAAAGTAATGATGGATACAGATTCAGGGTGAAGTTAGGGTGAGGCAGGGGGATAGGATGGGTAAAACCATATGGTTGGTGTGGGTTGGTGTTGATACTCTACCTTTTTGGGGGAGAGGGAGGATGGGCTAAAGGCATTTGTCCATTATTCAAGATCTAATAGCTGATAAAAAAGTGAGCCCTGCATAAACCAATGCTGAGTGTATCATGAGCCAAAGATTAAAATTAATTCAATTCTTTGCATGTGAGGTCAAACAAAAAGTCCCAGAGTAAGGGACTCCTTTCTTGCCACCTTCTGCTTCCTCCCCACCTTTCAAGATGTGCATGTGGCTCTATCTAAAATAACCCCACTGGGGAGTGATTTTGGCTTCTAGACCCAGAGCAGACCCAGGCCCTGGCATAAACGTCTGCATCAGGTGGCCTAAGGGCTCATTTGTAAAGCTAAGCTGGCAGTGGGCAGTCTTCCCTTTTCCTTGCTCAGGGTGATTCACCCTGCAGAGTGGAAGTGTTCATGAGCTGATGCATGGGTCAGAAACTTTATTTGCCAGTGGGGCCTGTGGGTGGAGGTAGTGTCTGGACTAGGGGAAGGCCTGTTTCTAGTTTGATGCCTGTCTTTATTCCAACCTCCCCTCACCGCCTTTTGCAGGAGCTGGGGGTGGGATGCATGGTCCTGCTTAGCAGGTACAGGGCACCCTTTCTCTCTGGGCCACATAGAGATTTATTGTTTAGGCAGCCAAGTCCTGGTATTGCTGCTAGTGGTAGAGGATGTCAGTGTGGAGGGCCCCCTCCTTCCATGTTTGGGGAGGACAAAGGTTGAGTTGCGGATGAGAAATAAATCGGAGCTGCTTGTGAGGCCGCCAAACAGGGTTAGATTTGTACAGTATGTGCTCTGCATGGGTCATGAGTCACTGAGAGGTTCAGAGATTGGATTGCCATGAATCACTTCCAACTGTCCCCATGAAGACCCCAAAGCAACATAGGTGACTATAGGGTTTTCTTTTGCATCCAACATCATTCGGAATTCAGTTGCTAGATCACAAAATAATCTTACCTTTGGCCACATCTAAGCTTGTTAGGTATGGAGCTCTGCATACTTCCTGGACGTCACCTTGGTTGATTTCAGCATCCTTTTTTTGAGTCAGAATGGGGCAGCCTCTCTAAGACAGGAAAGGTAGCTCTCATCTCAGTAGAGCCTTTCCCACCACCAGGGAGCACTGGGACTGAGCAAAGTTCCATGAGGTCAGGCATAATGTGTTTTGAAACCTGACAAATTATCTAGAGGTTTGAACAACTACGCCTCGCCTCCTTAAAATCTATTTTACACTACGGTGTTGATTGGATTCTATAAGATAAGGGCTGAAAGCCTTTTTTTTTTCTTTTAAAGTATTGACAGTGGAGAAAAATTGGACCTGCTTCCCAGAGTGGTTTATTTTTAGAACTAGATATGCATTCTAAGGCAGTGCTGGGAGTTTTAAATAATTTTTATGGATGTTCATTATGCATTTATTCTTGAAACTTCTGCCAAACCCCTGGGGAGAGGACACATTGTAGATAACAAATAAAAGAGTGAGATAGGGAGTGTTATAAAAGGACGTGTATTACTCCTTCACTTCCTCCTTCCAAAGTGCCAGTGACCTGCTTAAAAACGATGATGCCAGTGACTTCTCTTCATCCACAGAACTTTCCACAAGGATGGACATGTTTTATAACTGCACTGTCCAATATTAGCCACATGTGGCTATTGAATATTTGAAATGTGGTTAGTACACTGAGGACCTGAATTTTAAATTAAATTAAATTAATGTAAATATGAATGTTAATAGCCACATGTGGTTGGTGGCTATCATATTGGACAGTGCTGGACTCTGACCAGTGTGTCCAACCTTACCTTCTGCTGGATACCCCCATGTGCCCTAGACCTCAGCAGGGCTGAACCACTGTACTTCCTGATCTCTCCTTCCTTCCCCATTTCTGTCTGTCAGAATCCTGCCCATCATTCAAAAGGTTCAGATGTTACCTCCACGCAGTCCTTCTAGATTGGTCCCAGGAAGAATTCTCTCAGCTTCCTTTAAGCAAAGAATCATTTGCTTACCCCTATGATGGCATGTGTCACCATCTTCCCTGTATCCCAGCCAACCAGGAGCAGCCTCAGCATAGGCTCAGAGGCAGACAGACTTAAGTGTGAGTCTGGCTCTGCTGTTGGGCACCCGGGCTAGTAATCTGGCCTCTTAGGTCCTCTGTTCCCTGATTTGTCCAATGGAGGTCACAGCACCTCTTTTCCAGGGTGGTGGGGAAAATGGATGATGTGCCTTGTATTAGCTTTCTATTGCTGCCATGACAAATGAACACAAACTTAGTGACTTAAACAACACAAATTTCTACAGATCAGAAGTCTGACATGGCTCTTAATGGGCTAAAAAAATCAGCAGGACTGAGTTCCTTTCTGGAGCTCTAGGAGAGAATCTATTTTCTTGCCTTTTCCAGCCTCTAGAATCTGCCTGCATTCCTCGGCTTGTGGCCCCTTCCACCTTTAAAGCTAGCAATCATTGGCCAAATCTTTCCTCATGCTGCCAGGGTCTCTCTGGTTCTGAATTTTCTGTGTCCCTCTTTGCAGTTTAAGGACTCTTGTGATTACACTGGGCCCACCCAGATAATTCAAACTAATCTCCTTATTTTAAGTTTAGCTGATTAGAACAAACCTCCTTGCCCTGTAACATAGCATTATTAGGATTAGCACATGGACATCTTTGTGGGGAGCGTGATTCTGCCTACCACATTCATTAAGGGCCTGGTACAGTGCCTGGCTCATAGAAAGTGCTTTACAATTGAAGCCATCATTATGACCAGCATCTGTTAGTTTCTTTCCTTTAGGGTAGGAGCCTCTTAATGATGAAGTCGCTTAATTTTCTTTATAGACTCCATCCTGCCCGAAAGCAGGTGCTTAATAAATGTTTATTGAATAATAGAATTTTCAATAAAGGTAGATATGTCTTTCCTTATAAAGATATATTGGATAGTAAAAAGTAATATGCAAAAAAGGGAATAGATGATCCCATTTAGGCAAAAAAGAAAGATGGTTTATGTGTTAAAAAATTAGGTAGATTGTATGTCATGCTGTTGGTGGTGGTGATCATGGGGATGTTCAATTTCCAAGAGATGCATTTTGGTAACTATTAACACAATTTCGTTTACAATGAGCATCTTTTAATCTTAGAGCAAAATAATAAAGATTAAAACATGCATGATTGAAAAATGCCCCCTAAACCTGCCTCAGCCCATCCTGATTCCTGAGTCACCCTGGCATTCAGTCTACATCTGACACAATTGGCCTGTATTCACGTTGGGCTAACTTTTAGGGCTAGTAACTATTAGTGCCAGGACTGCTCATTTTCAGCATACTTTGAGCTCAGACTGCTTTAAAGGAGAGTTTTCAATTAACCTCAGCAGGACATAACTGTAAAAAATATATTTATTGCTGCTGGTGGGAATATAAATTAGTATAACTTTGTACAATTACAGTTGAAGTTGTACACACTCTTTGACCTTGTAATTCTGCTCTGGTACATACCCTGGAGAAATTCTAATGTATATGGAGAGATAAGTTCGAGACTGTTCATAGCAGCATTTTCTGGTGGTGGTAAAACATGGGAAATTAGCCAAATGACCACCAACAGAAGAATAGAAAAATAAATTAAAGTATATACAAATAATGAACTATTACACAGTACTGAAAATGACTAATCTAAAGCTGTACTCATTATTGCAGATGAATTTCACCAATGTTGCATGAAAAAGGCAAATTGCAGAATAATACATAATGCTATTTTTTACATAAAGGTTGAAAGCATGCAAAAGCTATATTGTTTAGATGTAAAAAATGTAAAATAAAATTAAGAGCAGTGATGAATGCTGTGTGGAGCTCAGGTTAATTGTTAAGTAGGGCAAACTGGAATATGTCAGGGGACACATAGAAGGCTTGGATTGAATGGTAATATTGTTTGTCTTTAAATTGGGTGGTGAATACATATATTCTTAAATTCCTTTTTGTATATATTAAGGAATACATTATACATTTTTCATAAGATATTAAAATACATTTACATAGAGCACAAACAGGGTTTAAGAACAAATATTAAAAGTGATGCTTCTGGAAGGGGTTCTCAGCTGCATGAAGCTGAGCATGACTTTCCTTTCATCTGAAGGACAGGCTCAGGGGTGTTTAACCGAAGTTGCAATCCCTCTTCCCTCCCTACCCCCTGAACTGCATCTGCTGGCGTCTCCCTCCTACCCTCCTCAGGGCCAGGAGGGGCTGCTGCTGCCTTCTCCCGGCCTGTGCCTGCCAGCGTTAGTGCTCGTCTCTGCCCTCCCCAGGCCTCTGCTTGCCTGTCATCCTTGCCCTCCCTGGATGATCATGAATGAGGTTCTTCTTCATCTTCTCCAAGTTATTCACCGTCGGTTTAAGATTTCCAAAGTCGGAAAATAAAAATACAGAATGCCCAGGTAAATTGGAATTTCAGATAAACGACAAATTATGTTTTAGCATAAGTATGACCCGCATAAAAATTATTCATTGTTTATCTGAAATTGAAATTGAACTGAGTATCTTTTATTGTATCTGCCAATCCTAAATTAGTTCCTTTCTTTTGTAAATTACCTGCCCAGGGTTTTGGCTAATTTAAAAAATAGGGATGGTAAGTTTTTAAAAAAAATACTGAAGATATTAATCTGTTTTTCTGTCAAGTCTGGCAAATGCCTGTCTCAGTATGTTATATGAAAGGACGAGGGTTTCAATCCACTGAACTTTTACATGTTTATGTGGCTAATCTATTGTTATGGTTTCTGTCTTTGGTGTCAGGCTGAGAAAGGCCTTCTACTAAGATTATAGAAATTAGGGTGAATAAATTTCTAGAGACTTGGGTTGCACAAGCAGCAACAAATGCATGACACACTGGTCACCGATTAATGTTTGCTGTAAGTTTCTCTAGTATGTTCTGAATGGAACTTCTAAATGTAATCCTTTGGAGAGCATACTTGTTCCATGCTTCAGAAATTCCAGTAACATTTGGAAAGAAGATATGCCAACTGGAAGATTCTGTGAAGGTAATTGGGGAAATTTATTTAAAACGTGTTGGTAAGCAAGCTGTATCGGAAATGACACTAGAACTTGGCAAAGGACTTAGACTGTCCATCTTTGGGTCCTATCTAGTCATTAAATTTTTTTTTGTTGTTATGAAAACTTCCAAATATACACAAAAGGAGAGACTAGTACAATGGATTGCCATGGACCCCTTACCCACATTCGACCATGAACCACTCATGGCCAATCTTGTTTCTTCTACCAGTCTCCCTATTCCCTTGCTCAGATTATTTTGAAGCAAACATCTCCCTATTCCCCTGCTCAGATTATTCTGAAGCAAATCTGATATTGTGTCTTATCATCTGTACATTTTCATATATATCTGTAAAAGTTTAGGATTCATTAAAAATCCTAACCATGATACCATACCACAACCAAAAAATATTAGCAATAATTCTGTAATATAATACAATCAAATAATCAACATTCAAATTTCCTTGATGATCCCTTAAATATGCTATTCTGTTTCTTCGAATCAAGGTCCAAATAAGGTCCACATATTGCAATTGGTTGATTTGTCTCCTAAGTCTCTTTTAATCTATGAGTTTCTCCTCTACCTCTTTTTCACTTTGTAATTTATTTGTTGAGTAAACAGGTCTTCTGGAGTTTCCGCACTAGATTTTGCTGCCTGCATTTCTTTTGCATTTTGTAACATGTTTCTCTATCCTTTATATTTCTCGTAAAATGATAGTTAAATCAATAGGTTTGATCAGGTGTAGGTTTGATATATATATTTTTAAGTATATTTCATGGGAGTTGGTGTGTGCTTCTTTCAGGAGACATACAACATCTGTGATGTTAGCACCCATTGATGATCATTGCTAGACCTGTTAATTCACTGATTTTTAAACAAGTAACAGGCTCTACTGAAAAGAGATTCTAACTTTCGGGAGGCATTGCCATTATTTTCCTTGTCTCTGGTGTTGCCATGGAGGGATAGAGAAGGGGGTTTAGTGCTAAAGTTCCCTTCTCAAGGCTCTGTCAGTGGGGAGGCTGCATGCGATTGCAAAGCTCTGAGGGGGAAACTATGCCCTGAGTTCTTGGTTGGTGGCCTTGGGAGGGGAACCACCTTGGTTTCTGGTTGAAGTGGTAAGAGCATAAAGGAGCTGGTTTTACTTTTTACTGCTAATTGGGAGGTTTTTTGGATGTAACTATAGATTTGCTTTTTGTGTGATCTTTGGTATATTTATATCAGTTGGATATTTATGTTACAAGAAACAGATAATGCATTTTGAACTGGCTTATACAGTGAAGGAGATTCATTGGCTCAAGTAGCAGAAAGTACAGAGGTAAGACAGGTGCCATGGGCTGAATTCTATCTCCTTCAAATTCATGTGAAGTCTCAACCCCTAGGACCCAGAATGTGATTGTATTTGGAGATAGGGCCTTGATGAAACAATTAAGTTAAAATGAGTCTGTTACGGTGGGCCCTTAATCCAGTCTGACTGGTGCCCGAATAAGAAGAAGAGATTAGAACACAGAGAAAAACTAGGGACATGATTGCCATGTGATAAGGCAGCAAGAGGGTAGCCATCTTCAAGCTAAGGAGAGAAGCCAGAGAGGAGACCAACCCTGCCAGCATCTTGATCTTGAACTTCCAGCTTCAGAATTGTGAGAAAATAAATTTCTGTGATTTAAGCTACTCAGTCTGTGGTATTTTGTTATGGCAGCCCTAGCAAACTAATACAGTGACTTTTAGAGGTGGTTTGATTCAGTGGCTCAGTAGCATCATCAAATATACAGTGTCTTTATGTAGCTTCCCTCTGCCTTGTGTGGTGCATGTTTTATCCCAAGTCCAGCTTTTGTCATGGGGGCAAATGGCTGTAATGGTTCCATCCTTCCTATCTAAACATCATCCTTTCTAGAAGAGGGAAAAGAGAATTAGCTTTCAGTAGCTCTCTCAGAAGGTGGAGAGTCTTCATTCCTAGATGGTCTCAGGAAACTTAGCCATTCTTTTAACCAATCCCTTTGGCCAGGAGAATGCCATGCTCGACTTGGGCCCAGGTTTCTTAGACCAATCACTGTGGCAGCGGTGGGAGATAGGGTTACCCATTTCTGGGACAAGGGGTCAGGTTAATCCTGTTAGCTTCTCCTGACCACATGGCTACTGGACAAGGTAAGAGAGTGGAAGGGATGCTGGAGCAACAACCACAGGATTTGTGTTGGGATCTGTGACATTTGGAGACAAGTGGAATGGTGGGGTGGGCTGTGTGGTGAGAAGGGTGATGGACGTGGATGGTCAGAGCCCGGAGAGGGGGCTTCCCTCTTACTGCATGACCAGTTGCTTCATCTATTAAGGGGATTAAATGATTTTCCAGGGTCCTCCCAGTGCAGATGTTCCAAGAGTTGGAGCTGACAGGAAAAAGGAAATATAGAAAGAGTTTGGAAAATTTCAGAATAGAATAGATAGGCCATGTGAAGATGATTCCAGAAAGCCCAAAATAAGGATAATAGGCCCGCAGTTGAAAGATTCCCATAGATACCTACATTTTACAGATGTTTAAGGACTATCCCCAGTGCACTTGGCCAGCTAGTGGCAGAGCCAGAGCCAGCTTCTAGATATGTCCCTTTATTGCTCTGTGCATGCCTTTTCCTTTCAAAGATGCCCTGGAACACTTGGAAAAGTGGCACAATTCCAGCTATGGGGAGGAAATAGCTTGAATTTTTGTAGAGGATTGTGTTTCTAAGTTGGCTTTGGCCAATTCACCAATTTCCAGTGGTTGGGAAAGGTGACCAAAACCTCAGAACATGTGGAATCTTCCCCGTCCTTGCCACCTGACTATGCATGCATTTCATAGCATTCTCATTTCCTGAAAAGGGGTGAGTTTCTGGTTTCCGCCAGTGTCGAAGGTTTCAGTTAGGAAATGTGAAGTAGAGCTGATAGAACAAGTAGCCAGCGATTCTGTTTGAAGAAGTAAAGGTAGATCTTGGTGTAGGACTCTTGATGCTGGTTAATAGCAATGAGATCAATGTAAACATCCACCCAACTGAATGGCAAATGCTCTGCAGCAGTGAGAGCATGTTTGATCTGAAGGTCGACATGATAGTTTCCTAGGTGGGTTTTAAAATCAATACCCATCTTGAGAGTAGAAGTAGAAACCCTTTGTTTTTGTTGAGGAGGGTCTGAAAGTGACCAGGGTCCTCCTTCTTTGGATACTTTCTCCCTGCATCTCTGCCAGTGACTTCGGAAAACCTTCGGGAAGATTGACAGCTGAAATGAACAGAGATCAGGATGCATCATTCCATACTTCTTGTCTTCTCCCTGGCTTTGAGGACCATGTAACTTTTCCTGGTGGTATGGCATTGTACTTTCTTTCCCCCCATCAAGGTAGAGCCTTAGGAAAAGACTGGGCTCACAGCCTTGGTCCCAATATTGCTGATTCCCAGTTTGTACCTTTTTTTTTCCTTCCTTCTCTTTTTTTCTTTTTTTTTTTTTTTGAGACAGGGTCTTGTTCTGTCACCTAGGCTAGAGTGCAGGGGTGCAACTGAACTCTTGGGGCTCATATGATCCTAATGCCTTAGCCTCCTGAGTAGCTTGAACTAAGATGTGCCTCCACACCTGGCTAATTTTTAAATTTTTGAAGAGACACAGTCTTGCTATATTGTCTAGGCTGATCTTGAACTCTTGGGCTCAAGCAGTCTTCCTACTTCACCCTCCCAAAGGGCTGGAATTACAGGTGTGATCCAGTGTACTTGGTCCCCAGTGTGTACCTTTCTTTTCTTAAAGCCGCATCTACTTTGTGAATGAAATTCACCTCCCATCTCAATGCTGGAGGATAGAAGTCTGAGCTAATACCATTTGACTAGCTGCCTGCTTTCTTGCCTACCTAGAGGGCAGTGTAGCATAGTGGCTTGGGGTCAAAGAGACCTGAGATTAGGTATCTTTCTCAGAAAAGCCACTTTCTAGCTCTGCCACTTTCTAGCTGTGTGTTCTCGGGCAAATGAACTAAGCTCCATGCTTCAGCTTCCTCTTCAAGAAAAGAAAGATATTATTTAACTCACTGGGTAATTGAGCTTAAATGAAGTAATGGTAGGAAGCTCAATAAATGTTAACTATTCATAAAAATAATAGCTGTAACAAGAAAATATGAGAGATCCCTGTAAGAACCCAAAATTAGATTTCCCCCTTGGAACTAAAGCTAAAAGAATACCATCAATACATTGAAAATTTATAATCTGTGGTTTTATTCCCTTTTGTTTATAAATAAAGCTCATTTTTTGTGTGCAATAAATCAAATTCCTTCACTTTCCCAATCTGATATAGGTCAGGAGGATCCTTTTAAATGGAAGTCAGTGGAGGGAGGATGTTCCTTGGCATGGTCTTCCTCCATGTGCCGTGTGGCTATGGCTTCTCTTCCAGGCAACTGGACGCTCTGTCTTTCTTGAAGTCTCTTTTCGTTTTTCCCTTTTCCTGGCATGGTAGGCTGTTTTCCTGACTTCAGCATCTAAAGGAAGCTTGAGTAGTCCTGATCACCTTCTCCATATTTCTCTAAGACGGTGAGGAATCATAGGAAGTCTGTGAGACTGTGAGAAACAGTTTTGCCATTAGGAGGTAAGTGGAAGGTCCTGCTGATTGATGTGCCCTCCTCATGATTTCTGGGATCAGGGGTCAGGCTAGTGACTGTTCGATATGTTCCCAGATGTGATCCAGGAACATTCCATGGAACTGGAGGGGCAGTGCCTGGCTTTTCTGGCCCCCCCTCCTCTCAACCCACATGAGCCTTCCCCTTGTCTGGGGGTTGGAAAGCCAATAAAGGCAGAGCCTGTTGTGTAACCACACACCATCCCGCCAGGTCTCTTTCAGAACTGCAGTTCAGAAACAATAACTCCTTGCTGTTAGCATGACTTCCTGGAGGGATATTTCCAGATAAGGTGGCTTGGGCCAGCCACACCTACTTTTTTTTCTTCTAAGTACTTTTAATTTGTATATTTGAACCATTTATATTTAAAGTGATAATTGATGTAGTTGAATTAATATCTACTATATTTGCTACTGTTTTCTACTTATTGCTCTTGTTCTTTCTGCCTATTTTTCTCTTCAACTCATTTTTCTGCCAGTTGTGTTTTTAATTGAGCATTTTTAATGATTTCATTTTCTCTTTTCTTAGTGTAGCAATTATACTTAAAAAAAAAAAAACTTTTCGAAGTGGTTGCCCCAGAGTTTGCAATAAACATTTACAGCTAATCCAAGTCCTCTTTCAAGTAACACTGTACTACTTCATGGGTAGTGCAAATATCTTATAATAAAGTATTCCTAATTCCTCTCTCCCATCTCTTGTATCATGCTGTCATTTATTTAACTTATATGTAAGCTATACTCATGGACTACATTGTTGCTAATATTATTATTTTGAAAAAACTATTATCTGTTAAATTAATTGAGAATATAATAAATACAAGTTTTAATTTTGCCTCCACTTGTTCTTTCTCTAATGCTCTTTCTTTATGTAGATCTGAGTTTCTGAGCTATGTTTTTTTTCCTTCTCTCTGAATAACTTCTTTTAACATTTCTTACAAGGCAGGTCTACTGGCAACAAGTTTCCTCAGTTTTTATTTGCCTCAGAGTCTGTTTCTCTATCACTTTTAAAGGATAATTTTGCAAAATACGGAATTCTAGGTTGATGACTTTTCCCCTCAACATTTTAAGTATTTCACCACACTCTATTCTTCCTTGCATGGTTTCTGAGGATAAGTTGGATATAATTCTTATCTTTGCTCTTCTATACATAAGGTGTATTTTCCTTTGGCTTCTTTCAAGATTTTTTTCTTTATCTTTGATTTTTTTTGCAGTTTGAATATGATATGACTAGGGTTTTTGTTTTTTGCAATTACCTGGCTTAGTGTTCTCTCTGAGCTTTCTGGATCTGTGGTCTGGTGTCTGGCATGAATTTTGGGGAAATTCTCAGTCACTATTGCTTCAAATAATTCTTCTGTTTCTTCCTTTCTTCTCCTTTTAGTATTCCCATTATACATGTTATACCTTTCATGGTTTTCCCAAAGTTCTTGTATATTCAATTCTGTTTTTTTTTTCCAGTCTTTTTTCTCTTTGCTTTTCAGTTTTGGAAGTTTCTATTGCCATATCCTCAAGCTCAGAGATTCTTTCCTCTGCCATGTCCAGTCTACTAATGAGCCCATCAAAGGAATTCTTCATTTCTTTTATAGTGTTTTTGATCTCTTGCGTTTCTTTTTGATTATTTCTCAGAATTTCCATTTCTCTGTTTATATTACCTATCTGTTCTTGTATGTTGTTTACGTTTTCCATTAGAGCCCTTAGCATATTAATCATAGTTTTAAAAAAATTCCTGATCTAATAATTCCAACATCTCAGCCATGTTTGTCTGCTACTCATGCTTGCTCTATCTCTTCAAACTGTGTGTTTTGTTTGTTTGTTTGCCTTCTAGTATGCCTTGTAATTTTTTGTTGAAAGCCAGCCATGACGTATTGGGCAAAAGGACTTGTGGTAAATAGGCCTTTAGTGATGTGGTGGTAAGATGTGGGGGGAGGAGAAGCATTCTATAGTCCTATGATTAGGTCTCAGTTTTTTGGTGAGCCTGTGCCCTTGGGCTGTGAACTTCGTAAGTGCTTCTCAGTGTTTCCCCCTACCTTAGGTGGAGCATGATGGCTAGGGTGGGCTGGAGTTTATTTCCCTTCTCCCAGGTAGGTTAGTCTCTGATAAAATCCCAACAGATTAGGCTCTGGTAAAATAGTTTCTCCTGATGGCAAAGGCCTTGTTACGGGAACAGAATGCTTTGCTGTGGTTCAAAATGGCTGCCTTCTCCCTCTTCTGCCGGAAGGGTTGGGATCTGTGTCTCTACCCGAGTTTCATGTTCAATTGTAATCCCCAGTGTTGGAGGTGGGGCCTGGTGGGAGGTGATTGGATCATAGGGTTGGATCCTTCATGAATGATTTAGCATCATCCTTTTGGTACTATTCTCGTGACAGAGTTCTCATGAGATCTGGTTGTTTAAAAGTGTGTGGCACCTTCCCCCTCTGGCTCTCTTCCTTCTGTTCCAACTTTGTAAGATGTTCCTGCTTCCCTTATGCCTTCCGCTATGATTGTAAGTTTTCTGAGGCCTCCCCAGAAGTAGACACCACTATACTTCCTGTAGAACTATGAGCCAACTAAACATTTTTCTTCATGAATTGTCCAATCCCCAGGCATTTCCTTATAGCAATGTGAGAACGGACTAATACAAATGGCAAGGAGATTTTTCTTTGATATTCACTGTGAGAACCAGGTAGGGCTCCTGGAGGTAAAACTCACTAAAATGTGGAAGTCCCCCTAAGTCTAGGTGCCCTTGCAGTTTTTGACCCTCAGACTTATTCCTCCTGAGCCTCTGGCAGGTTGTCAGTTACAGTTTAGGCTTTCCTACCTAAACTGTTGAGGTTTAGATACCGGTTTAGGTTTTCTTACCATACTGGTTCCTGTGGAGATTTCTGCCCTGGTAAGCTGTGATTCTCTGTATCTGCCTGTCTGTCCAATTTTGGGGGCAGTGGTTTGCCATGTGAAATGAGAATTGTTGATTTTCAGTTTGTTCAGCTTTTTACTTGTTGTTAGGATGGACTGGAGGCTACCAAGCTTCTTACATACTCGCCATACCCATTTCTATTCACTCCAGACACACACAAACAGAGTGTGCTCAGTGGTGGATTATGGAAACTTTTTCACAGTTCCTGCTCATGTGGCTGTGCTTTGCTAAAGTTGTCAATGCAGAGGGAGGCCTAGGAAGAGAGGAGGAAGGCCCACCTGTGCCTCCTAGAGCCAGCCATGTGGGAAGCAGCCACCCAACTACCTAGTCCTTATGGGATGTGGCTGAGGGTAGGGAGTGTGTGTGCCATTTATTTCATGTTGAAACTCCTAGCAAAGAACCCGGCACAGCGCTAGTGTTTTCTGCTATTCAAATCAACACGTTCTACAAAAATTTATTGAGCTACTGCTATGTGCCAGCTAGTGTTCTAGGCACTGGGAAACAAAATACAACAGGGAACGAGATAGTCCCTCGTTTATGGAGCAGTACATAATGGACAGCACTTATAACACTTATCTGGCTCTTCTTATGTGCCGGGTACTTTTCTAAGCCCCTTTGCACATACTAATCCATCTTATTCTGATGACAAAGACATTATTATCATCCCATTTTACAGAGGAGAAAACTGAGACACACAGAGATTCATTGACCTGAGATGCTTACTTCAGGCAGCAGGGTGTTTACTCACAGCTTAATAATGTGCTGGAAGGTGTCAAGAAAACAAACATGTTCTTGCCTATCCCCAACACCCAAAGGCTCTCCTGTTGTGTTAATTATGAGAAACCTGATAACCAGGCATTCCCTATTGCTAAAACAAGGTGAATTGCACTTCTCCATCATTGTGCTTGCCACAGCTGATTAAACTCATGGCCACATGCCACAATGGCCTGGTCTAGCATGACCTTTAGTCATGCCAGCCTGTAACTGGCCATTATTAGCAAAATCTTATCCTCTTCTTCGAGGACAGATTTTTCTTACCCTCTTCTTGTTTTTGGGTTGGAGCTGCTCCTTTACTGACATGAAATTGGGAATCTCAACTGGGCAGCTGCAGTTCTAAAAAGATGATGTCCAATTCCATGGAAGACCAAGTCTTAAGGGTCACATGCAACTGCTATACCATGTGATGAAATTTAAAATGAGAGATATCTTTTCTCAGCTCCTTCTCCCATACTCAGGAGATGTCCAGGAAGATGAAGAGAAGTGCTATAGCATAAATTAGTAATAGTCCATGAGGGTCCAAAGAGAAGGGCTGCTTGAATTGTTAAGGTACATTTGCCCTCTGACCATCTTTGTTCAGGGCCTGAAGCACAGCTCTAACCAGGAGGTGCATTTTGACTCATTTCCTCACTCCTTTGTTCAGCCTTTGACTCATTCATTCACTTGTTGTGGATATCCTAATTTCTGCAGTTTAAACTGTAAATATTCTTGGGGATGGAACTATCTGAGGTGGTCTGGGAATTATTAATTTACTGATGGCACACATCTTCACATTGTCCCTCAGCCTTCATGTAGTTCTGGCCCAGTTGCTTCTAAGATTTTATGAGTTGGCCTATAATGGGGCTGTGGAAAGTAAGGGGGATGTTGTGTTTGCATCTGTTCCAGAAAAAAACTCTGAGTTAAAAGTATTCTGATTCCTATTAGGGTAGGACATCTTAGGGAGGAATTTGACAAATGTCTGAGAAAGAATATCTTTTGCCAGATTGAAGAATTGTGCAAGTGCATATTGCAAAAGGCTTTGTCCTATGTCTTTGTTTTTCAAATGCACAAGAAGCTGTTCAGTGGTGCACACACCACCCCGCTGGGAAACAGGGACTTGTCAGCTGGCAAAATTCCATGATGCATTGGGAGAGGGAAATTCAGTGCATTCTTTGGTGGCTCTTTGCCTTGTCACCATCTTGAGATGCCTATTGTAGGAAACATCTGTTGTTTTGGTCTGCCCAGCCTCTACTCTGTCTTTTCTGGCAATAGAATCTCTACTTTCCTTTGGGGAACACCGTCCCTCACTCTACTCTTCATAACTTGAGTGGACTGATCCCACCTCCCAGTTCTAGGGTGAATGCATGACCCAGGCCTGATCAGTGTATGCCCTCCTCTGGTTTAGGAATGGTCATGTGACTTATGCTGGACCAGTGGATTCAATTTGGAGACTTTTTATTGAAACTCTGGAGAAAGACAAGCCCTGGGGTTTGTATGCTCTAAAGATGTAGGCCTGTAGTCATTGGTAGTTATTTGGTCACTATGAAGGAAAAGCTTGCTTCAAAATAAATCCAACACAGAGCAAAAGAAAGCTGAGAGAGGAAAGAGACAGGTTTCTTATAATATATTGTGAACACCTGGATCCCACTCTGCTAAAAGCTTCCTTAAATCTCTTGTTTGTATGAGCCAGTAGCTTCCTACGGTAGATTAAATATAGCCACAGTTTCTTTGTGGCTCCTTTCATTAAGAGATGGGGTCTATTTCCACACCTTTTGAATCTGGGCTGGCCTTGTGACTTGCCTGGACTCTTGAAGGTGGTGGGAGTGACACTGTGTGAGTTGTGGAGACTAGGCCTTGGGGTCCTTGCAGCTTCTGCCTTCACCCTGTGGGACCTCTGCCCTGAGACCACCCTTTAAGAAAACCATCTAGCCCTCTCCCTCTCCCTCTCCCCACGGTCTCCCTCTCCCTCTCTTTCCACGGTCTCCCTCTGATGCCGAGCCGAAGCTGGACTGTACTGCCGCCATCTCTGCTCACTGCAACCTCCCTGCCTGATTCTCCTGCCTCAGCCTGCCGAGTGCCTGCGATTGCAGGCGCGCGCCGCCACGCCTGACTGGTTTTCGTATTTTTTTTGGTGGAGACGGGGTTTCGCTGTGTTGGCCGGGCTGGTCTCCAGCTCCTAACTGCGAGTGATCTGCCAGCCTCGGCCTCCCAAGGTGCCGGGATTGCAGACGGAGTCTCGTTCACTCAGTGCTCAGTGTTGCCTAGGCTGGAGTGCAGTGGCGTGATCTCGGCTCGCTGCAACCTCCACCTCCCAGCCGCCTGCCTTGGCCTCCCAAAGTGCCTAGATTGCAGCCTCTGCCCAGCCGCCACCCCGTCTGGGAAGTGAGGAGCGTCTCTGCCTGGCCGCCCATCATCTGGGATGTGAGGAGCCCCTCTGCCCGGCTGCCCAGTCTGGGAAGTGAGGACCGCCTCTTCCTGGCCGCCATCCCGTCTAGGAAGTCAGGAGCGTCTCTGCCCGGCCACCCATCGTCTGAGATGTGGGGAGCCCCTCTGCCCCGCCGCCCCGTCTGGGATGTGAGGAGCGCCTCTGCCCAGCCGCGACCCCCTCTGGGAGGTGAGAAGCGTCTCTGCCCGGCTGCCCCGTCTGAGAACTGAGGAGCCCCTCCGCCCGGCAGCCGCTCCGTCTGAGAAGTGAGGAGCCCCTCGGCCCGGCCGCCACCCCGTCTGGGAGGTGTACCCAACAGCTCATTGAGAACGGGCCATGATGACGATGGCGGTTTTGTCGAATAGAAAAGGGGGAAATGTGGGGAAAAGATAGAGAAATCAGATTGTTGCTGTGTCTGTGTAGAAAGAAGTAGACATAGGAGACTCCATTTTGTTCTGTACTAAGAAAAATTCCTCTGCCTTGGGATGCTGTTGATCTACGACCTTACCCCCAACCCGGTGCTCTCTGAAACATGTGCTGTGTCCAGTCAGGGTTAAATGGATTAAGGGCGGTGCAAGATGTGCTTTGTTAAACAGATGCTTGAAGGCAGCATGCTCGTTAATAGTCATCACCACTCCCTAACCTCAAGTACCCAGGGACACAAACACTGCGGAAGGCCCCAGGGTCCTCTGCCTAGGAAAACCAGAGACCTTTGTTCACTTGTTTATCTGCTTACCTTCCCTCCACTATTGTCCTATGACCCTGCCAAATCCCCCTCTGCAAGAAACACCCAAGAATGATCAATTAAAAAAAAAAAAAAAAGAAAGAAAACCATCTAACCTACTGGAGGAGGAGAGGTCACGTGGAGCAGAACCGAAGTCCCCTAGCTGCCCCACATGTCAGTGAGGTCGTCTCGGACCTCAGCCTTGCTGACCTTCCAGCTGAATGCAGCTGCACTGGGGGGCCCAGGTGAAACCAGCAGGTGGATGGCCCCATCAGCCCACAGAATCAGAGTTGTTATTTTAAGCCACAAGGTCTTGGGGGTGGCTCATTATACATTAATAAATTCGCTGATAAATTTTTTATTTGCTTGAGTCCATTTGATTTTATTTTCTGTCATTCACAACAGAGAGTCAGGACTGATACACTTCTGTAATGAACTAAACCTTATCAGAAATGTACCTCTGTGGAACTTCTTCCCACCTATGAGTGAAACCAGCTGCCTTGATCTGGAGCTTCACTTGCCAAGCATGCATGCATGTGTGAATTCTCTTGCTGGTGGGATCTAGTTCTTGCTCATGTTTGTGTAACTTATCTGAACAATGGTGCCACTGTCTCCGAAGGGGTGGATTTCTCCAGCACATGCCCTTAAGGGAAGACCTTTCAACAGATCCTTCTCTACTGGTCACTTATGGGGTTTAGCACTTGGCATTCCTCAGCCTTGTTGTAGCTCCTCTTCATAGGCTCTCACACATGTGACTTCTGGGGTTACTGATCTGTCCTGAAAATGCCCAGGAGAGGTGAAGCATCAGCTACTTGAGACTAAGAAAAGTAGTAGAGGCAGTGCAATAGCATGGGCCCTGGAGTCAGACCTTCGTGGGCTCAAAGGCTGGCTCTGCCACCTGCTGCTGAGTGCCTTGTGCTCATCATGGAGCCTGTCTGAAACTCGGTCTCATAGGTGAAATGGGAGGTAATCATACTTCCTTCATGGGGTTGTGGTGACCAAAACATGAGGAGATGCCTCCCATGCAGTGTTGGTAGCCCAGATTTAGCAGCGATCCTTCAACATTGTTCCTCTTGAAGGTGGCAGGATATCACAGAACACCATCCCACCACTGCCCATCATGTTTATTTCATTCTTAACACTAGACAGAATCATGTCTTGTTTGATGTGTTATCAAGTTTGTAACGGGTTGCCTGTAATGAAGGGGGTGTTTTCTGATAGCATTCCTTTCAAATACAGACTCATATCGTGATGGTGGTCAGAATGGTGATGATAATACAAACAAATGATAACATCATGTGAAAATGTTATGTGTAAGAACAATATGATGATGGGAAGAGGTGCTATGGCAACACATAGGACATAGGGGCTGAGAGTCTTCTGAAGGCAGAGTCAAAGCAGTCCCGCCTGATGTAGGTATTTGACACCTAGCAGGAATTTCTAAGGCAGGAGTTGGAGAGGAACGTCCAAGCAGAGGGAACGCATGTGCAAAGGCATAGAAGTATGAGAAAGTATGTTCTAGAGACTGCAAGAAGTTCAGGATGCTGTGATGTAGGTTGATTGTGAGGGAATAGAAGGAGGGTAGCTGCAAAGGGAGGTGGTGACCCATCATGAGGGACAAGGCACCTACACACAAAGGAACGTCAACTTGGTGCTGTAGGCAGTGGGCATCATTACAGAATTTTAAGCAGGAGAGTAACATGAATAATGTTTTAGAAAGATCAAGCAGTGAGTAGTTTGGAGGGGGTGCAAGACTCCAGGCTGGGAGACCACTTATGAATTAATTACAAAAACCCACCTAGAGACCATGCGCATCTGAGTTAAGGTCAATGAGTTGATAGTGGGGTTGAAGAAAAGAAGGACTGAAAATATCAAGCAGGCAGTATTGTTGAAAGATGGCAGCCAGTTGGATGTGGAAGGGTGAAGGTGAAAGGGAGAAATCAAAGATGCCTACTTGTTTTCTTACTTAGATGACTTCAGAAATTAGGTGGTGTCATGAATCACATTGGGTAGTACAGAAAGAGAAGCAGACTTGATGAGGGGCCAAGAAGGATTGTTTTGGATGTGTTGAATTTGAGACACCTTAAGAAATCTAAGTGAAGATATTTGTGCATATTCTAAATCAGATGTAGACCAAGCAATCACCAATGTGTAGATGGGAGTCGGTGTGGATAAAATTGACCAGGGAAAAGTGTGATATCAGTCAGTGATCAAACTCCAGATGATGCTACCATTAAGTTGGGCATAGGAAGAAAAATCATGGAAGAGGATTGTAGCAGATTGCATTTTCCAAAGATGGCTGGAACAATCTCCCCTACCCCACATGCCCTTCTTACCTTGGGATTTTGACACTCCTCCCAGAGAGACAAGGGCTGTGTTCCTTTCCCACAATCTGGGAAACTTTGACTCCACTGGAGGTGCTGCTAGGAGACTTCCAAGGCTAGGTAATAAAAGAAGATACAGCTTTTGCTGGTTTTCCTAGGACATTCACCTTTGGAGCCCTGAGCCACTATGTAAGAATCAGAGGCTGCCATGATTTGAAGGACTCAGGTTACAGGGAGAAGCCACGTGTAGGTCGTCTGGCCAACAGCCTCAGCTGATGTCCCACTGACAGCCAGCATCAACTGCCAGGTGTGAGTGAAGATATCAGCAGATGATTCCTGCCCCCAGCCGTAAATTCAACCCTAGCCTTTGAGTCCTCTGTGGAGCAGAGACAAATCATGCCTTCTCTGTGCTTTCTGAATTCCTGACCTGTAGAATCTGTGAGCATTATAAAATTGTTACTTTAAGTTGCTAAGTTTTGGGAAAATTTGCTATACAAATAGATAACCAGAACAAGGACAAAAAGGAGGAGTCAAGAGAAGTTGGAAGCCAACTGAGAGAGAGGGAAGGCTTGAAGTGGTCAGGACAGTGAACACCTAAGAGACATCCACTGAATTTGCCCACTAGGAAGCCATTAGTGACTTCAATAGGAACATCTTCAGTGCATCATGAAGGCCAAAGATTGCCATGAAAGAGAGGAATGGAAATGGAGTGTGGGCCACTTTTTCAATAAGCTTGGCCATGAAACAAGGGACAGAAACAGTGGAAATTAGATGGAGATGCAAAGTCAAAATTTTTCTTTAAAAGATGTTAGAGAGAGATTTGAGAAGAGAAAAAGGTTGGAGATGCAGCAGGAAAAAATTACTAGAGGAATGTCTTGAGGGAAATAGGAGGAGTTAGGTGGAAACAGTCATATTTCTGAGAAAATGTTCTTGAACAACCTCTGGTGTAGAGGGAAGGAGGTTTAATGGGTGGTGGAGGAGACAATTTCTGAGGCTAGGGGCCATGACTATTTTAAGTTCTGGGCTGCCAGAACTTAAAACTAGTCTAGGGATTAACAACCACAGGAAGCAGCACTGTGGCATTTAATGTCTTATCATGGAGGAATTATTATTTTGATAGCAAAAATTAGTTAACTTCACTGTCTATTTATAAAAGGTAAAACCTACTACATGGAATCTTAGATATCATCTTTTTGCCTCTACTCTGAGAAATTCTTTCTGTAACATGCTTACTGATTATCTATTTTCTTGCTTAAATATATGGTGATTTCTTTGTCTATTAAATATAATTTTACCTTTCTGAGTCTTCTACCCATTGATCCTAGTTCTCCCTTTGTAGTTACACAAAAGAGAAGAATTTCAGATCCCACTTTATCTTGTAATGAACCAAGGGTAGAGACAACAAAGGTGTGGGCCCAGAATTTAGGGTAACTACTATTTTAGCTCTAAGGGTAATGTGCCTCTCATTAGCCGACATTCGGTAAGACAGAAAACAAGAGAAGTATTAAGAATGAACCCAAGTAGAGTAGGTGTCTTAGTCCATTTGAGCTGCTCTAGCAAAATACCATAGACTGGGTAAGCTTATAAACAGCAGAAATTTATTTCTCACAGTTCTGGAGGCTGGAAGTCCAAGATCAAGGTGCCAACAAGTGTCTGGTGAGTTTCCTTATCTATAAGGTTCCTTATAGAGAGCTTCTTTATAGATAACCATCTTCTCACTCTAATCTTACATGGCAGAAGGGGTGAGGGGTCTCACTCTGGCCTCCTTTATAAAGGCTCTAATGCCATTCATGAGGTCTTCCCCTATGACCTAATCACCTCCCAAAGGCCTCCTAATACTATTGGGGGTGGGGATTTCATCATATGAGTTTTGGAGGGACATACACTTTCAGACCACAGCAATAGGTGAATCAACTGTGGCACAGATCTATGGCACAAAAATCTATAAAAATGGTGTTGTGTTTTTGACATGTATAAGTTCACAATGGATTCAGTGTGGGGAAAAAAGTAGGTTGTAAAACATCATATTGTAGAGACCCATTTTGTAAAGGACCAATATGCACAGAAAAAAGAGTACACACCAAAACGTTGATCTGGGTGTTTTCTCTGGGTGGCAGTATTATGGAGACTTTCATTTCCCTTGTGTAAAAGGAACATGTATTTCTTGTGTGTATAAATAGAATTAGTAAAACCAAAGCAACCACTGAATCTGCGTGTGTGCTCACTTCAAATGTGAAAGCTGACTATAATATTGCACAGTTACCTGTATGCAGGTAAGTGAGCCTGTGGGTGGCCCTTTCCTGATGTTTCACACCCTTGGATGAGGTCTTGCATCTTCTTGGTGGCTGCTGTGCTGGAGGGTAGTGGGAACACGGACAGACTCTGGCCGCAGGACAGCCTGTGTTTAGACGAAGAATAGGAAAGAACACAGTAGACCCCTGGGAATCTGCTAGCCAGGTCTGGGAGGGCCTGGGCCTCAGCATCCTCTTTGCTTTCCTCATCTGGCCTTTTGACAGTGCCTTGGGATCTGTGGGTGCCGTGCTGGCCTTCCAGTGCTCTCTGACAGGTCTTCCTATTAGTGTTGGAGGCTGGATGAGGAGATCATTCTGGTTTATTGTGGTAACCTCCTTAGGTACAATTAGGACTTGGGGCAGGCTGGGCTCAAAACAGTGTAGGGGAGTTGTTTTTCAGTTTTGTTTCTCTTTCCTTGCCTCTTTTCTTTTAATCTTAGGTTCTGGGGTGTGGGGGTGTGTGTGTGTGAGACAAGTCTATTTGGAAGAACTGTATTCTCCCAATTGTTTCTTTGAAATGTCCCTCTCTTCTTCTTCTCTGCCTCCCAGCACTTTATACTCACCTCTTCTAAAGTCCTCTATGGTGATGGATTGGCTCGTTCACTGTAGATTTATCTCTTTGCTCCACTAGACTATGGGTGGACTCCTTCAGGTCAGGGACTCCATATTTCCAACTATACCGAAAGAACTCAGAAGACAGGGACTGTCTTAAATCTCCATACTCCTAGGGCTCAGCACTTTATCAAGTGCTGAAAAATTATCTATTGGTGATGGCACCAAGCAGCATATCATCATAAATATGTGAGTTTTTGGTGTCCCTGAATCATGGTGCATATTCACTCTATATGCTTTGTTATTTTACTTCAGCGTGTGAAATATCGCCTTATGATCTGAACATGTAATACACTGTGTCTGATAGCAGGAATTGGCTGAGCTCTTCCTTATTTTTTGTGGTAGACTTCTCTAAGCAAATACATTTCCTCTGATGGACTTCACTTTGAGTTTACAGGCAGGTACATCCAATGCTGACCTCCGAAGTTCCCACTGCAGTGTCTAGGTGGTGGAAAGTTTGGCATGGCCAGGAAACAGCTTTAAGCTCAGAGGGTAGCATTGGGAAAGGATGATTTCTGGCAAGGATTTATGTAAAAGCTTTTCAAAATTGTGACTGTATCTTAAATGAATACTCAGTTTCTTGTTTTTGTAAAGAGCTATTTTCCATTGGAGAACAACCTTAGATTTTATGTTATGCTGTGTAAAAAGCTTCCAGAAAATGTCAGGGTATTTTCCAAAGGTACCCTAGGAGGTAGAAGCAATGAAAACACTTAAAAAATCTGTATTCTCATGGATATTGGCCATTTAATTTGTTTATCATTGATTCTTCGGCCAAAGATAATTCTAACTGGGTGAGAATGAGGACTGGGGAGTGAGACAGCAGAGGTTTTTGGGTCTAGCACTCCCCAGGACAGGACTCCATTGATTATTAGTCAAGAGGACGTGATTGGAGACCAAATTTCTTTTTCTTTGCTCACATGTCATTCACTCCTTTGAACCATGTTTCCTAACCTGGAGCAGATGGTTTCCTCCTGGCGACAGATCATCTGCCTCTGCTTTCTGTGTTAGCTTATGTTTTCAGGTTTATGTGGAACAATTCTAGATAGAGGAAATTACTTAGGGGAAAAAAGATTTAATATGATGAACATGTTTTATGGATCAAGTCCTATGTTAGGTGTTTTACATAGACTCTCATTTATTTCTGTCAACTGGTTCTGCAAAAGGAACCGATTTTCATTCCCACTTACGATTGAGCAAACCGAGGTGCAGAGAATTCAAGAAAAGTACTTAGGCCCCTGGGAAGAGTCTGGATTTGAATCTGAGTCTGTCTAGTTGCAAAGTCCTGTGCTTTCCAATGTACCATGCTGCCTTAATAGCACAGCACAGCAAGATTCAGGTCACCCACACAGGTGGGTGGAAAGAAACGGTTGGGAAGAAACCTTTCTGGACAGGTTTTTATTATATTTTGAACATCTAGGGTAGAGTATACGATGGCCAGGCAGGAGGCATGAAGCTGGCAAAGCCACTTTGGCACCTTCTGCCTATAAGACAGCCTCTGTTTATTTCATGCCAGAGAATGTGGAGAGTGGCTTAAATGATTTATGTTTGAAGGATTTTTTTTTTTTTGGTTGACAAAAATGCCTCTATTGCAATAAGCCTTGGATACTCAATTTTTAATAAACTGGGCTCAGCAGCTGCATAGGGTCAAGAGAGACAGACTGTGTGTATGCCGAGGAGGTGTCAAGTCAAATGCACCTCTGGTCAGGATCCCTCCTGAGCAGACGGATTTTCCATGGCCTGACTTGTAGGGATTAACCCTGGATATTCAGGACTTGAGGGTACGCTGTCCTCTGGGAGGCCATCAAGGATAGCTGTTTGGAAGCCTGAGACTGGGGACTTTAGTGGGAGCGGGTCTGTTGTCTGTGTTATTACCAGGGAGTTTCCAAGGACGGAGACTGTTATAAGCTATAGATTTAAGACTGACACATTGAACTGTATCCAGACTCCATGTTACCCTGGGCAGATCCTCAAGTCCTGGGAGTTGGGCAGCTGCAAAGGCCAGTAGCAGGGAGTCATCATGGAACTTGTTGCTAATGTTTATGCAGTGGCCTGTATGGCGCAGCATACAATATAGCTATTGTTCTGTGTTTCAGGAGTGCCAGTTAGTGGCTGGTGTTAAAATGTGTCCAGGATTTGGATGGAGAATCCTCTCTGTCTACCACTGTGTTAGATTTTGGAGGGATATCCAGACTGTGCCTGGGGGTAAAGGCTGGAGATGGAATAGGTTAGGGCAGATACTGAGACTGGGCCCAAGGTAGAAGGCCCAGGAGAGCCATGTGGCCCAGAGATCACATATTTAAACTTTCAAAGTTTATTTCAAAATTAATATACAGTAAATGCAACACAGTTTTTGGTGAACAGTTACATGAATTTTGACAATGCATACAGTTGTGTAACCACCACAATCAAGACACAGAGCAGTTCCATCCTTGCTCCGCACCCCAAATCTCTTGTTTGCTCCTTTTCATTGACTCCCTCTACCTTAACCCCTGACAACCAGTGGTCTGTTTTCTTTCTCTAGAGTTTCACCTTTTCTAAAAGGATGTTACATAAGTGGAATTATGTAGTATTTTGAGTCTGGCTGCTTTCATGTACTATAATGCATTTGCCATTCATCCATGTTCTTGCATATATTGGTAGTTCCTTTTTATTGGCTGAGTAGTATTCCATGATGTGAATGTATCATGGTTTGTTCATGCATTCACCAGATGAAGGACATTTGGGTTGTTTCCAGTTTTTGGCAATTATGAATAAAGCTGTTAGAAACATTAAAGTATAGGTTTTTGTATGAACATAAGTGTTCACTTCTGTTGAGTAGATACTTTGAGTGGGATTGCTGGGTCATATGGTAAATGTATGGCTAACTTTATGAGAAACTGCCACACTGTTTTCCAGAGTGACTGTACCATTTCGCATCCCCACCATCCATGTATGAGGGGTCTAGTTGCTCTGCATTCTAGCCAGCACTTGGTATTGTTGATATTTTTTATGTATTTATATTTATTTTTAGCATTCTAATAGTATGTGGTATCTCATTATGATTTTAATTTGCATTTCTATTTAAATGTTTTGGATGTTGTTTCCAAATGAAGTCATGTGTATAGTCACTATTGTCAGGATTGAAAGAAGTAAATAGCACAAGTATATTGAATTGTATTTTTGACTGCTGTTAACAGATGCTCAACCATAGATGAGGCACAATTTCCTTTTCCTTTAAATTTTAGGCATGGTCTTGCTCTGTCACTCAGGCTGGAGTGTAGTTGCATGATCATAGCTCACTGCAACCTTGAACTCCCGGCTTCAAGCAATCCTCCTGTCTCAGCCTCCTGGGTAGCTGGGACTAAAGGCATGCACCACTACACCTGGCTAATTAAAAAAATTTTTTTTGTAGAGCCGGTGTTTTGCTGTGTTGCCTGAGCCGGTCTCTAACTACTGGCCTCATGCAGTCCTCCCGTGTTCAGCCTCCTAAAGTGCTGAGATTACAGGCATGAGTCACTGTACCCAGCCAAGGCATAATTATACATCATTCACATAAAGGAATTCCAGCTGTAGACTATTCAGAGGTGATAGGTGGCCAGGGACCCAGGTTCCCACTTTCTGTGTCATCATCCTTCAGTTGTGGCTTGCTTTCTCAAGGTCACAAGATGGTTGCTGGAGCTCCAGCCATAACACTTGCTTTCCAGGCAGGAGAGAGGGAAAAGGAAAAGGCCCTCAGTTTTTTTTTCCCCATGGTAGAAGAGCCTTGCATTCTTTCACCCTCCTGGTTGCGTCCCTCCTCGGGCTGCAGTTTGTCTTTAACCTTCAGTTTGTGTGGCTACTTTCTGCTTAGGAGAAATTGTCAGGCTTTCCCTTATTTCACTAGGAAATATCCAGGCCTGTTTATT
Source organism: Homo sapiens (assembly GCF_000001405.40). NCBI lineage: Eukaryota > Metazoa > Chordata > Mammalia > Primates > Hominidae > Homo > Homo sapiens. The sequence continues at coordinate 69,912,930 of NC_000014.9, forward strand.
TTTCACTTTAAACACAATTTGAATAAGCCTATTACTTTCAGTTCCTTTGAAAACTGGAAGCTTCAAATTAGAAAGTGGGAGGAACGATGGCTAATGGCTGGCATGTGGAGACACAGATCATGCACAGTTTGACAACGAAGAAGGGTAGAAAAAACCCAGATTATAGCTTAAGGCCAGTGAGTGTGGGGGCAAACAGCTCTGCATGGCTTCAAAGCCTTTGGCACCTTGATTGTGTGGTTCTATCTGTAGGGTTGTCTTGCTGGGTAACAAAATCATTCCTCTATCTCTTTCCGCTCTGCTAGACTGTGTGTCTTCTCCTGTGGGTGGGAACATGGTACATTTTCCACTGATATCCAGTGTTCTATGTACTCTTATACATGTGAATTATGTACTCCTTACCAGCTTCCTAGGAAGACAAAATAAGCAAAATATGATTGGATGTTTCAGGGAACCTTAGCATTAGGGCTGCCAGATAAAATACAGGGCACCTAGTTAAATTCGAATTTCAGATAAACAATGAATTGGCGTGTGTGTGTGTGTGTGCGTGTGTGTGTGTTCCAAACAGTACATGGGACACACTTATACTAAACAATATATTCCTTGCTTTTCTAAAATTCAGAGTAACTAGTCATTGTGTATTTTTATTTGGTAAATCTGACCAACCTACTTGGAATACATGAGTGTCAGGAGAAGGCCCTGCAGTTGGTGGGGTAGAATTGATTTAAATGAAACAGCCTGGGCACAGTGGTGGAAATATTTGTTGATCCGATTTTGCTCTTGAGTGTGGGACTTCTGATGCTCTTCTGAAGCAAGAGGAAATCAATTTCTTTTCATGGCTGCTAATAAGCTAGCTCAATACAGCAGCCCTGAGAAAAACCCTGGCTAGAGTTTTAAGAGTCCTAGGAATGACATGAGGTTTATGTTTCCTTATCTCCTTGGCTCATTCCTTGCCTGTTTAGAGAAGCTTTTTAGAGTATATGTCTTCTGTCTGTTTATACATTGGAACCTAGAGTTAGAGTGGAAATGCTCAAGTTCACTACAGAGTCATGAATAAGATCCTGATCATGTGGGTATAATGAGCTTCCTAAACCAGTGGTTCTCAAAGTATGGTCACTAGACCAGCAGCATCATTATCACCAAGGAACTTTGAAGATGTGCAGATTTGATCCCCAGCAAAGACCCCTTGAATCAGTAAGTCTAGGCGTGGGGCCCAGCAGGCTGTCATTAACAAGCCCTGGGCGTGATTCTGATGCTCCTAAAGTTTGAGAACCACTGCTATAAATTAGGGGTCTGTAAACTTTTTCTGGAGCAGATGGTAAATATTTTAGGCTTTGTGGGGTATAGGGTCTCTGTTGCAAATACTAAACTCTGCCACTATAGTGCAAAAGCAGCCACAGTTAATATGTAAAAGAAAAGAATGGGCATAGCTAAGTTATAAAGTAAATAAAGCCTTATATTTACAAAAATGGGGAGCTGGGCCAGATTTGTGCACCCATTTCCCCACAGTAGTTTGCAGACCCCTGAAAAAACTAAAAGGCATCTTCAGAGTAGTCAGACTTGCTTGTTACTTGCCTCGTCTATTTAGTGATACATTCAAAATGCTCCTTAACACCCACACGATCAGAAGTGGGAGACACCAGTAGGAAGGAAACAAACAAACAAACAAACAAACAAACACAAAGCTGCCTAGGTCTGGTGAAGTAGCCATTATCATGCGAGAAGATGCCCAGTGACCAGAGATATCTGTCCCTCTCTAAGTCTTACCTGGTTTCCAACTGTAATGCTTATTAATGAGACCTTTCTGACTGTTCTCA